>NC_000003.12:81525151-81828181 GCF_000001405.40 Homo sapiens | reverse complement strand
GACACTGAAATTGGAAGAAAGTATCAATTCAAGATGAAGACAATAATTTTAAAATAAAAATAATTAATATAGCCATTATTATTCCTGAGACCATCAGAAACATAAAATTAAAAGAGGCTGTAAGATAGACTAGGATTTAATAAAAATACTTAGGTATACATTTAACTAAAAAGTGAAAGATCTCTACAAGGAAAACTATAAAACACTGATGAAATAAATTAAAGAGGGCCCTACAAAATGGAAAGGTATCCTATGCTCATGGATTGGAAGAACTAATTTTGTTAAAACGTTCATACTACCCGAAGTGGTCTACAAATTCAATGCAATACCAATCAAAATACTAATGACATTCTTCATAGAAATAGAAAAAACTATCCTAAAGTTTATGTGGAACCACAAAATATTCCAAATAGCTAAAGCAATCCTGAGGAAAAAGAACAAAGCTGGAAGCATCACAATACCTAAACTTCAAATTATGCAACAAAGCTATAATATCCAAAACAACATTAGTCTATGTGTGTGCCTAAAAACATACACATAGACCAATGGGACAGAATAGAGAACCCAGAAATAAATCCATGCACTTACAGCCAACTGACTCTTGACAAAAGTGCTGAGAACATACACTGGGGAAAGAACAGTCTCTTTAATAAATAAATGGTGCTGGAAAAAAAATGTATTTCCATATGCAAAAGAATGAAACTAGAGCCCTATCAGGTACCATATACAGAAGCCACCTCAAAATGGATTAAAAACCTAAATGGAAGACCTGATACTGTGAAACTACTAGAAGAAAACACTGGGAAGATGCTACAAGACATTGTTCTGGGCAAAGGTGTTTTGAGTAAGAGCTTGAAAGCATAGGCCTCAAAGGGAAAAATAGACAAATTAAATTACATCAAGCTAAAAAGCTTCTGCATGGCAAAAGAAACAATCAATAAAATACAGAGACAACCTACAGGATGAGAGAAAATATTTGCAAACTATCTATCCAACAAGAGATTAATAACCATAATACAAAAGGAACTCAAATAACTCCATAACAAAAATAATCATTAAAAAATGGGCAAAAGACCAAAATTGACATTTCTCAAAAACAAAACATAAAAATTAAATGGCCAACAGGTATATGAAAGAAATGTTCATTATCACTAATCATCAGAGAACTGCAAATTAAAACCACAATGAAATATAATCTCACATCTGTTAAAATGGCAATAATCTAAAAGACAAAAAATAATGGGTTCTGGCAAAGTTGCAGAGAAAGGGGATGCTGCTTGTGCACTGTTGGTGAGAATGTAAATTAGCACAGCCACTATGGAAACACAAAACAACTAAAAATATAACTACCATGTTGCATTAGTCCGTTTTCACACTGCTATAAAAATACTAGCTGAGACTGGGTAATTTATAAACAAAAAAGTTTAATTGACTTTTGTGAATTTATAAACAAAAAGAGGTCTGCATGGCTGAAGAGGCCTTAGGAAACTTAAAATCATGGCGAAAGCAAAGGAGAAACAAACACCTTCTTCACAATGTGGCAGGAAAGAGAGTGAGGAAATGTCACACATTAAAACCATCAGCTGTTATGAGGACTCATAAACTATCACGAGAATGGCATGGGAGAAACCACCCCATGATCCAATCACCTCCCACCAGGTCCCTTCCTCAACACATGGGGATTACAACTCAAGACGAGGTTTGGGTGGGGACCCAGAGCGAAACCGTATCACATGAGATCCGGCAATCGCACTGCTGAGTATATATCCAAAATAAAGGAAATCAGTACATCAAGAAGATCCTGTACTCCAATGTTTATTGCAGCACTATTCGCAATACCCAAGATATGGAATCAACCATCAGTGAGTGAATGGATAAAGCAAATGCAGTGTATATACACGATGGAATATTATTCAGTAATAAAAAAGAATAAAATCCTGTCATTTGAAGCAACATGGTTGGAACTGGAGGTCATTATGTTAAGCAAGGCACAGAAAGACAATTTCCACATATTCTTACTCACATGTGGAAGTTAAAAAAGTACATTTCATGGAGGTAGAGAGTAGAATTATAGTTAACAGAGGCTGGGGAGGGTAGGGAGGAAAGGGAGGAGATGGAGAAGTTGGTAAGTGGATACAACATTCCATTTAAAAAGAAGAAATAGGTTACAGAATTCAATAGTGCAGTAGAGAGATTGTAGTTAACAGTAATTTACTGTATGTTTTAAAATAACTAGAAGGGAAGAATTGTAATGTTTCCAACACAAAGAAAAGGTAAATGTTTGAGACAATTAATATTCCAATTACCCTGATTAGATTATTACACATTTTACATGTATACATGTAAAATATCACATGTATTCCCAAAACATGTACAACTATTATATATCAATTAAAAAAAACAAAGATAGTTTAGCATTTTTAAAGGAGGGGTACCAAAATTCAAACCCTATTATGTGAGCTAAGTAACAATGAACATGTAAAAGGGCATGGAAAAGAAATATGAAAGATTAAAAGAAAGACTTCCATAGACACAGATATGCAGCATAGATTAGCTATTTTGTATTGTTCTTTGAAATATAAACTGAAATTCACTGCACTGTCATTTAGAGTTACTTTAATAAAAATATATTTGTTTCTAATTTTTAGAAACTGGGCACTTGTGGTCATTTCCTAATTCAGAAATGTATGTATTTTTTTCCTAATTCAGGAAATAACCAAAAGTCATTTTTATTTTAGTAGGTACATATATTACTTTCTCTTCTATTATCCCTCAAGAGTAACAAATGCATGTCAGTAAGTGTCATCTAATAATTTCCTTACTTGTGCTTCACAACTATTCTAGAAGGTAGGTATCACTATAACCATTTAATATATGAGAAAACTGAGGCTGAGTAAATTGTAGCAATCATAGAGCAAGTAAGTGACCCTTTAGAATTTGAATCCAAGATTTTTATCCAGTACTTGAGCTGTTTTTCAAATATTCTAACATTTTGAATGCATTACCAAGAGGAATGCAAAAATAGCATTAAAATTTATACAGAGTTTCAGCTTACATTATGATAAAATTCTAGAGTAGAAATTCCATGAAGGCAAAAATAATGTCTGGTTACATTTTAAGCACAAAGCTGAGAAGTACAGCTAGGGTTCTCCGAACTGTAGACACAAATTTGTTTTGTTTTGCTTTCCTTTTCATTTGTTTATTTTTAAGTACTTGATGTACTACCTATCATAAATGCTAACAAATTTATTTTAAAATATTATATATAATGGGTTTATTTTGATAATCAGGTAGGAATTACATTTTTTTTAACTCTGGGTTCACGGATATGGGCAAGAAACAAAGTTTCGTAGTTAGAAAAAAGAGAAAAAGGAAGTTAAACTTACCTATGGCAGCTCAAGAAAAAAAGGAATCATTTTTTAAAAAATAAGATCTTTCAAAACACAAATGAGTAAAACATAGGCTCCAGGTAAATATTGTTAACATCTAAATTTTTAACAGCTTACCTTTGAACAGCACTTTCGAGATTAGGATAGCATTTCCCAAAGTGTATTCCATAGGATATTGCTGGCTGTGAGCCAAATATATTTAGAAAACATATCACCTATGTCTTTTCTAAAAGTCACAAAACATATGAGCATTGTAAAGACTGAGAAGTGTTTCACATTTAAAAACTTAATTCCTGGTTTAACTTAGTGTTTCTCAAATGATTACAACCATGGAAGCTTTTTTTTCTGGTAACATCTATTAACATTCATCAGAAATAGTGATGGAAAAATATTATTTTATTTAGTTCATAAACAAATCATATGAAAAGAATGACCTAATCCCTACTTTTCTGTGATCTACCCAGGTCACAGGGTAATGAGTTGTCAAGCAAAGATTTGCACTCAGGTCTTCAGACAGACCAGAGGTCTTTTCTCTTTCTAGTTGGCTACAGTTCCCTTTTTTACCTACCAGCACAGTCATGCTCCGTTTATTTTTAACCCATGAGGAAATTGCTTGTGCTGCCACTTCATGCAGCACTTCAGGATTTTGTTCCAATTTTGAGAGAGAATTCTTGATAACAGAATTGCTGCGTTAAGTATTTGTTTAAAGCTAAAGCAGAAAATCACTCATGAGTAACACAGGCAGTTAAATGGTACCATCTGGAGCAAGAGGCATCTCTAAGTATCCTTATTTAAGAACCAGTTTACAAATAATAACAGACCCCTGGAATTAAGCAGTTAGCTCCTTTGTCATGGATAACAGCATTCAAGGGAAATAGCTTGCTTCATTGATTTTGAATCATCACAAACAGAAATACTAGGATATTTTGGCTGTTTCATTAGAAATACCAAGAGGAGGATCTTTCAAATCAATAATATTGAGAGTAACAGATAATCCAGTTGGTGTACTCTAGTTTATAGACGAAAACAAATAACAGCATTTCATACTTAGAAGAAGAGCAAGGAAATTAAACTGACCTAAAGAAAGAATGGTTGCAGTTTTGGAAAAAGCAAAAGGCTTATTTCATAACATAGAAATACTGTATAAATTAAACAAAGTTTCTAGTCATTACTTGTCACAAACTATGTTTTCACTTTAGGCTTTGCTTATCTGCACAGTATTCATCAAAATCATATTTTGTTTATTTGTACTGTGCATGGTGTATTGTATATGCTCAAGAAATATTTGTGGAACAGATATAGATAAAAATAGAGATAGAGGTAGATACAACAGAGTATAATCAAAGACTATCTGCGCAAAATAAAGAAATTCAAAGGAACTCTGAAGCCTAGAAAATCAGGGCTTCCTTAGGGCAATGTTTTCCTATCTTAAAATGATAATTTTTATACTGCACTCTGGGGTAAACAGACACTGCTCAACACCAGAGTAGACCTGCCAGGGCCTTTCGCCACTCAAGGGCTTGCAAGGTCATACCCAGGCCTGTGGTGATCAATGTCTGCCCAAGAGACTAAAGTATTCTTTCATTTGTCTTCTGTCACATGTATAGAACTCATTGAAAACAGATTTTTTGGTGTGACCTCCCCTGCAGCGCTTTGGGAGGTTGAGGCAGGAGGATGGCTTGAGCCCAGGAGTTTGAGACCAACCTGGGCAACATAGTGAGACCCCATCTCTACAAAACAAATAAATACATAAAAATTAAAATCTGAGTTTGGTGGCTTGCACCTGTAGTCCCAACTACTTGGCAGGCTAAGGTAGGAGAATCCCTTGAGCCGAGAAGGTCGAGGCTGCAGCGAGCCATGATAACACCACTGCCCCAGTCTGAGCAATAGAATGATACCCTGTCTCAAAAACAAACAAACAAAGTGGACCTCATCAGTGTCTCCGAGAGATAAAGGAGGTAAATTATGTGGATTAAAACTGCTGTGAGAATTCCAAGAGAATATGTGAGAAAGGGTCTTGTACAGCAAATGGTCAAATCACCCAGGAGGGTAAGCTTTATTTTTATATACATACACGTTGTAAAAATAATATTGAATATTAGATTGTTCATCATTCTTTTTTTCTCTTACTAGTTAATTTACAACACTTACACATACAAATATTATAATAAATACTTAGGAAGATATGCAGTTTCATTTTAATAGTAGCTGTCTGCTAATACTTAAGCATTTTTTCATAAACAGTTTCTGTTGTCTGTTTGTGTATGTGTATGTAGGTGTGTTTGACAGGATGTTTACCCTATGAACACACCTTCAGTTGCACAACACTTTAGAAGAAATAACACATCCAAGTCCACTTTCTTCTTAAATTCTTAGGGGAAAGAGTATCCCTCTTCTCCTTTCGGATTGCTTGTCGCCTTGAAAAACTCCATTGTCTATTCACAAATAGTATAAAGGCCTTTTCAAGCCCTTCTTTTTCTTTTTAATTCTCTGTTTACTAAAGACAGTGGTTAAGACTAGATAAAGAGATAGAGAAACATCTTAGCTGTTTAAATGCCACGTCTTTTCAGGTTCTGTTCCATCCCTGGGATTGTGTGCTGTCCCATGAAAATACAATCTATAGAATGAGGAGAATACAAGAGTGTTAACACTCTATGTCAGTTGCTGTTCAAAATACAGTGACAAAATGGTCTGGAATTTGTAAGCAACTGCAGCTTTGCCCCATTTCCACTGCTCTGTTTTTGATGATTTTTTCCATCATAAAGAGATGAATCTGAAGTGTCAACAGTTACTTTTGGAGCAAGAAAAGGGTAGGATTGGGAAAATTTTTCCAAAGCCTAGTTTTATGAAACTACACTTTATGTTTATGTTCAGTAGCGGTGCTTCAGTGATTAGGTGTCCCTGGGTGACTTTTCCATGATATTTATATAGTGTGCCTTTAACTTTTTCAGAGGGCTTTTGCTTCTTTTCTTCCATAGTTCCACATATCTTTGGGCACCTGGAGTGACTACACTCTATATTGTATAGCTCATACAAAAACTTTCTATTTTGGTAACATTTAAGATGTCCTTTTTATATTGTGGAAACATTTTGGCAATTTAGGCAAAGAAAAAGACACCATTCACTAATATAATGTATTTGCAAATAGGTACAATATACTAGCTTTGCATAATGCTACTAGGAATCAAAGGTTTAATTTACAGAATGAATGACTATGTAATGCAGTCTTTAAATATGGAGAAAAAACCCTCTAAAACTGAAAAGCAACTCGAGCATCATTTTTTTTTCATTTTTGCATAAATTCCTTTCATAAACTAATCTTTTCCTTCAAGGTAATTGTGTTTAAAAGAAACCTGCAAAAGACAAAATAATAGATCTGTATAAGTTTAAATGGAAACAACTTACACCTATTCAACATGGTGGGGGAAGATTATAAATGCATGAATATGACAGAAGCATGTATTATAATTGGAAGGATGATGTTAAAAGGGAGACTTCCCGCTGTTCATGTGATTTACTTTTGAAGAACAATATATACATTAAATTATTCAATGGTTGATTGTAAGGGTTGATTTTGATTTGACATTTTTAATTCACTAACAAATTTTAGTATTAAATTTTAGCTATAATTAACTCAAATTTTAGTATTAAGTTGTAAAATAGACTTCTAAAATTATATGAAAATAAACTTAGTACAAAAATAATGTAATAATAAGTGTCTGATTCCTCCTCAAACCATATTATTTCCACAGGAGCTGATATAGTTTGGATGTTTTTTCCACCTGAAATGTGACCTCCAAAGTTGGAGGTGAGTCTCCTGGGAGGTGTCTGGGTCATGCGGATGGATCCTTCAGGAATGGTTTGATGCTGTCCTAGTGGTAATCAGTGAGTTCTCACTCTATGAGTTCATATGAGATCTGCTTGTTTAAAAGAGCCTGACACCTCCTCCCTCTCTCTCTTGCTTCATCTCTTGCCGTATGATACACCAGCTCCCCCTTCACCTTCCACCATGACTGTAAGCTCCCAGAGGCCTTCACCAGAAGCAGATGCCAGCACCATGCTTCCTGTATAGCCTGCAGAACCATGGGCCAAAATAAATGTCTTTTCTTCATAAATAACCCAGTCTTAGGTATTTCTTTATAGTAACACAAAATGGACTAACATAGAAAATTGGTACTGAGAAGTAAGGCATTGCTATAAAGATATCTGAAGATGTGGAAGTACTTTGGAACTGGGTAACAGCAAGAGGCTGGAAGAGTTTGGAGGCCTCAGAAGATGATGGGAAGATGAGGGAAATTTTGGAACTTCTGAGGGACTGGTTAAATGGTTATAACCAAAATGCTAATAGAAATATGGACAGTGAAGGCCAAACTGAAGAGGTCTCAGATTGAAATGATGAACTTATTTGGAACAAAAGCAAAAATTATCCTTGTCACTCTGTAGCAAAGAACTTGGGTGCATTGTGTCCCTACCCTACGTATCTGTGGAAGTTTGAATTTAAGAATGATGATTTAGGATACCTGGCAGAAGAAATCTCTAAGCAGCCAAGTGTTAAAGAAGTAGCCTGGCTACTTCTAACAGCCAATGATAAGATATGGGAGCAAAGAAATGACTTAAAGTTGGAGCTTATGAATAAAAAGGAAGCAGAACATAAAGGTTATCTTGCAGTAATGACTGAGTTATCACACTATGAGTTCATGTGAGACTTGGTTGTTTAAAAGAGCCTAGCACCTCTTCCCTCTCTCTCTTGATTCCCCTCTTGCCATGTAATACATTGTATCAGCTTCCCTTCTCCCTTGTGCCATGATTGTAAGCTGCCTGAGCGCCCCCAGAAGCAGATGCCAACACATGCTTCCTGGATATCCTGCCAAGCCATAAGCCAAAATAAACCTCTTTTCTTCATAAAGTATTCAGTTTCAGGTGTTCCTTTATAGTAATGCAAACAGACTAACACAGAAGCCATGGCATGTACAAATATATACACACTTGCAGGCACCCTATTACACTGGCATACACATACTATACACATATGCACATAAACCTGCTTTAGAAATCATTATCTAATTGTGTGAGAGGGAAAGAGTTTTTATGAGAACATTTAGCATCTTAATTATGTCTGGTTTAAGTTAAAACCAAAATTTATATGAAGACGTTGAATTTCTTTAGTTTACAGGAAGAAGACACATTTTTCTAATTTATATGAAGAAGATAAATTTACAATAATTAATAGCAATCAATTATATAGCACTTATTATGTGCCAGGCTCTTCACTAAGCATTTTAGATGTATACACTCATTTAATTATTTCAAGAACTGATGATATATGTTCTATCATCATCCCCATTTAATAGATGAGGAAATTAAAGCACAGAGTTTAAAGGATTCAAACTTTGTTAAGCTTATGGAGCAATTCCCAACCTCAACTTCAGCCTCTCTCTGTCCCATGAGTTTTTATTTTTATAACACCTATATTTTAAAATTGTTGCATATGTATTTATCTGCATGTTTATTGCCTGTCTTTTCATATAATATATAATCCAAACATGTTTAATGAGTTAATGAATTTAATAAGAATCAATCATTTACCTAGCACTACATTAAGTACTGAGATAACATGTTGAATAAGATAGATCTGTCTTCCAGGAGATCATTTTATAATAGAGGAGAAGGATAAGTAAAGAAGTAATAAAATCACAATATAATAAATGCTCAGAAAAAGTTCTACTGTAGAGGATGGAAAATTAATGTCATTGAAGGGAAAAATATATCGATAAGGAAAGCATCTGGGAAGAGGATACACCATTTACAAAGCTATAGGAGCAATAACCAGTAAGAACAGTCAGTAATTGTATCCTTTGAAACATGGAGTAAATCTGGAGGGAATTTTCAAGAAATGATACTGGAGAGAGAGGCTGGGAAAAGGTCTCAAAGGAGTTTATGTACCACGCTAACAATGATCAGAAACATCATTCTGGCTAGATTGTAGAAGACAGGTTAGTGAACTGTAGGCTTAGTAGGAGAAACATCAATGACTAGGATGCCTTAGCTAGGGTAATGTTAAATGCTGTACAGATAACCCCAGACCTCATTGTTTCATCACAACAGAAGTTTCTTTTTTTCTCACAGAAAGTCCAAAATAGCTGTTTCTTATTGATGGGTGGATCTACATAAGTCAGGAATTCAGATCTAGGTTATATTCCCCATCTTTCTTGTTTTGGCTTTGTTCTGCCTTATTTGTTGTTCTTTTACTTAAATTTGGTCATCCTTTCTTTCATTTTGAATAAGGATCTTTTTGTAGACTATTAAGTTCCATAGAGTGGCAGAATACAGTAGTGTGTCTTAATCAACACTTATTTTTAATTCCTAGCATGCAGAGACTAGAAGAATAAGAAAAAAAAATGACACTTTCCAGATTCCCTTGCAGCTAAGGTTCAAGATATGACTTAGGTTTTGCACAGTGGCATAAGTATTTAATTTAGAACTTAGTCACATGAAAAGGCAGGCAATATAAAATCCATCTTACTGATACACCGTATTACTGATATAGTTACTGGCAGAGGTACCTATTCTAGAGCACCCAGTTATAAGAGCAGCTCCCTGATTCAGCAAGTTCCTGATCACAGCAGAGGCAACAGCTCCCTGGGTACTCCATTTCTGTGAAATGGTTTGGAGAGGTGTTTCAGCATTCAGCTTCAAACTTATTTTCAACTATCCCAGTGATTTATGAGCTACCATTATCTTTTAATAAATCACTTTCTGCTTTCATTAACTAGAGAGGATTCTGTTGTCTGTAACTAAAAACTTGGACCATTATGAGCTGCATCAGCTATATTAGCCAAAATAATACCCAAGGCAGTTTCACGTGAGCTACGTGTGTGTGTGTGTGTGTGTGTGTGTGTGTGTGTGTGTGCAGGTGGTGAGCTAGCTCCACACAAGCTAGCTCATCTTATATATAAAAGGCTATAAGGCAACAGCTACATCTTTGAAGAGTAGTGCCTACAGAAACTCTCATCCCCTTCACTCTCCTCTGTTGTGGCTTTTGGATTTCCTTTGCAATTTTCTTTTCTTTTCCAGTCAACTAATCCTTCCTGTGACTATCTCTTATCCCCAATTTTCTCTTGAATTTACCCAATAATAGCTGAGTAAACAGAATCAAGAAGATTATGATGAACAACTATGTTCATTCCACATAGCCCAGTCCCCTAGTTCTAGTGCATGGTTCTTATCAGGGAAGGGGTGACATTCCAAACTCAGACACTTGTTCTACCTCCCCATTCTTATTTTTTCACAAACAAGATCTTTGACTCTGAAGTAATCAAATTCCCAGGTAAGTCTCAGTCAAGTTTCATTCTAAAATATAAATTCATCTAACTTCAGTACTCAAAAGCCATCATTAGCATTTATTTATGTGTTCACAGATAGATCTAAATAGAAAATAATAGATCTAAAATTTAGGTGTCCATGCATTCTTGGAGAGAGGGGTGAGTAGGGAGAATAAATAACATAGCAGGACCATTTTTACCCAACTTCCCCATCCTACTCATACTTATTAGCCACTAAAGGCCCTGGAAAAAAATCTCAAAAGTCCCACGTGCTTGTGTAACCCACAGGGTATCAGACTGTGTGAAAGAGTTAAACAGTAACACCTGGTCCACTGCCTCCCAGAATGACTGTTTAACGTGCCAAGAAGAAAGGTCATGGCCTCCTTGTTTCTGCCCAGTCGAGTAGCTGTTTTCAGTTTGGGTTTTTTCCACCAAAGCGACTTTAAAACACTGCTCCCATAGCCACAACATGCATAAAGAACACAGACAAAGATTTCCGGGGATAGAATGACAGAGAATTGTAGCGTCACACAGCTCCAGCCAGCATTTGGCAGAGCATAATGGAGAAGAGTAAAACCTCCCATAGAATTCAATTGATAAAGACTCAGTACTTAAAGACTGCTTTGAGGCTGCGTATAATAAAATACCAGTGGAACAGGGAGCCTGGAATGCCTGGTGAGGCAGGGCTTTAATTTGTTTTACTGAGCAGAGTACCAGCTGCTTCTCTGTTTAAGCAGAGGTTAAAAAAAGAAAAAAAAAAGAAAGAAAGAAAGCTGTCTTGGAGCTGATCTTCTCTACTCTGTGCGGTTACACACTTATGCAAATGTAAGGCATAAAGTCACTCCTAAGTGAACAAATCTTCCACTAGATTTAGCAGGTTTCACCTAACTCTTGGTAATCAGAGCCCCCAACATGGGTGCACCAGTTTGCATAAGAAACTCTTGGTAAATAAAGAAAGCAAAATTTCAACCACTTTCCTGAGATGAGAAATTAGGAAAAGCCATTTAAATTAGGAAAAACCCAGGAGAAGATAGCCCTGACTAAATTCTGCTGACACATAAGATCCCTAAGGAGAGTTCGCTGTCAGGGAAGAGAGAGAGTATATATGGTTGACTTGGGCTCAGTGGAATTTCCTAAGGAGAGAAATTCCTTATTGTTCTAATTTATAACTGCAGAAACAGTGACAGAAAGCTATGATTTGGGGCTCAAATATGGAATACCAGCATAATCTGCCCAAGGATCTGAACCATTTAATGTATCATCACTAGAGAACCAATAATGTTCAATAGTAACCTATGGTAGCAAAGATGCAATGAACTGGTTGTACCTTTCTGGTATACTTCTTCCACTTGGCTTTCAGAAGCAGGGCTGACATGTGGTAGGCCAAGCCCAAGCCTTGAAGATCCAATGTCTTCTTGGCCTTATTTGTACTTGTGTACAGACTTCTTAGTATTACATTGTTGAAATGTTATGGTACAAGATAATGCAAATGACAAAGTAAAAATTGTAATACAGAACCTGGATCTGGAAGAAATGCTAAAGGCAACTTTTGCTCTTATATCAGGTAATTATTTCAGAGATGTGGAGTGTGGTTAGGATTTAATAAAGTTGGTGTGATGAACAGAACTTAAGGAAAACTCCAATGATTTGCACCTCCTGGTGTCTCTTTGTGTCCATGCCTTTATGTAATCTCCCATCTTGAGTGTATGTGGGACCTATGACTTGCTTCTGATCAATAAGATGAGGGAAAGGTGATAGGATGCCATTCTCATGATTATGTTATGTTACATGAGACTCAGTGTTAGCAGGATAGAGAAAGAGATTCTCCTTGCTGGCTTAATAAGTAAGCAGCCATGGGTAAGGAAGCCTACACAGCAAGAAACTGGAGGTGACTTGTAGGAACTGCAAGTGCCCTCTAGAACCTAAGGGTGGTCTCCAGATGACACCCAGCAAAACCCGCAACAGTCATACAGCTTCAAGAAGATGAATGCTGCCAACAAGCTGAAAGAGCTTCCAAACAGATTCTTCCCCAGCCAAGCCTTCAAATGGGAAAACAACTCTTTGAACATCTTGATTGCAATTTTATAAAACCCTAAACAGGACCTAGTTAAACTATGGTCAGACTCCTGACCCACAGATGTGAGACAAGAAATATGTGTTGTTTTAAGCCACTTAATTTGAAGTAATTTGTTACACAGCAATAGAAAATTTTTACTATGTTACTCTTGATGAACCCCACCAAGAATGGCCCTGACCTGGGAGGCTGTACCTCAGACAGGCAGATGACCCTTGCTGGGATCCAAATACATTTCCTATAAAGAAACTAGGATCCTGGAGAAGGAGCTTCCATCAGCATAATATTTTCTCAGATGTTTGGCTGAGAAAGTACTTTGAGCTTACTGCATGAAATGTAATTGTATAAGACATAATGTGTCTGAGTGCTCTTTTTCATCAGCCCTCAAGTCTCCAAGGAGCTCATTCTTGTCCCTTCCTTTAGAGGCAGGGGACACATAGCTCCTGCAATTATAGAGGATAGAAATGAAGGTTTAAGTAAAAGAAAAGATGTTGAAATAGCAAAGGAGGAACCATTCACCTAATCCACATTGCTACTTCTTATGGTTATTTTCAGTTAAAAAATTTCTAGCAGCAACCCTCATAATACTGGGTTGCGTATGAAGGAGACTTTAAGTGTGATGTGGTAGAAATCATCCTCATATTAACAAGGGCTCAGGAATTCACTGGAAATATCATAGAAGTTTTTAGGGACATACTGGATATATATCCTTTATATATAATTTACATTTGAGCAACTATGTACAGTTTTATCAACATTTTAATAATTTTTGTTGTCTATCACAAGAATTCATTTTTTTCTCCTGTTATCCCAATGTTTACTTTATCAAAGATCTTTTCACATCTCAAGGCCTCTGAGTAGGCAAAGGCCTCAGATCTCTGTCATTCAACAAAAGGCACCCCACATCCTCATTGACTCCTTAAGCTTCTGAGGAAACCCCAGAAAAGCCCATAAAAGCCCTTTTTCTCCCCAGTTTGTCTACCTTCCCCCTCCACAAGTTTAGGCTTTAAAGACAAAACAATCCAACAAAGAGTAGACGCAGTGTTCTTTTGGGACTCTGACCAGTTTAGCATTTATTCCTGCCACAAAAATGAGTCAAGACCTTCACAAGGCAAAGAGTTCAGAACTCAGAGCACAATACCTGACAACCTTCTCAAGTTTTTGGAAGAAGTGATGAGCAAGACTTCTCACATCTTCCAGGTTCATGTGGTGAGAACATAGGACAAATTAATATCAGCAAAATATCTTGCCACTTCATACCAGGTTAAATAGCCTTTATATATAGATACCTTAAGTGGTGGCCGATACCTCACCATCAACATCAAGGATCTGGTATTCAGACTGACAAAACCAGGTAAGCAATGACGCCAACATAATACTGTTAGTTCTCCCTAAAAGTGTCACAAGTTAGGAATACTTCAGGGAAAAGAGATGAAGACGATTGTTTTATTAGAAACCTACAGAAACAGGCAGATAAACTCTTGGCACTGAGAAGTAATAGGGAAAGAAAACATTTAGTGCCCACCTCCCCACCCCTTTACCAAGTTTCTACCTTTCTCCTGTATTACTGTCTAGCCTTTGACCTCTCACACTGACTCCCAAGCAACAGGTATAAACATTGCCTTTGGGTTAATAACTGTACGTACTGCCCAATCCTTGAGGGGTGAGAAGTCCTCAATTTTATTGTTATTAGCATGATGATTTTATGTTTTTCCAAGCTGGATCTTTGCATTTTGTTCTCAATTAATTTTTGTCCCAAAGGAAACATTGTTTTTCAAGGTGATTCAGTTCTACTAGACTGTACAGATTTTATGGCATTATTGGATTAAATAGGCCTTATGGGCTTACCTTGGGAACCCAGACACCATTTATAACATTTCTGTGGGGAAAATTCATTTCGAGTTCTAAACTACCAGCTCCACAAAAAGCTCATGAGTAAACCAGTTATACCTTCTTAATTTTTATTTATTTATTTATTTATTTATTTATTTATTTATTTATTTATTTTTTTTGAGACGGAGTCTCGCTCTGTCGCCCAGGCTGGAGTGCAGTGGCGGGATCTCGGCTCACTGCAAGCTCCGCCTCCCGGGTTCACGCCATTCTCCTGCCTCAGCCTCCCAAGTAGCTGGGACTACAGGCGCCCGCCACTACGCCCGGCTAATTTTTTGTATTTTTAGTAGAGACGGGGTTTCACCGTTTTAGCCGGGATGGTCTCGATCTCCTGACCTCGTGATCCGCCCGCCTCGGCCTCCCAAAGTGCTGGGATTACAGGCGTGAGCCACTGCGCCCGGCCATTTTTTTATTTTTTTAGCCTTGCATTTGCCCGTGAGAGGAGCAGCCACACTGGAACGAGCTGCATTCTTTTAACTAACTTCTTTTATCAGTCAGAATGCTTTTGTCTGTAAGTAACAGAAGACCCTGCTAAATGCGGCTTAAACAATAAGGGCATTTATTATGACATTCACCAAGAAGTCCAGGGAGAAGTAGATCTAAGAATTGGCTCAGTAGCCTAACAATGCCTTAAAGTATCTAAGCTCTTTCTAACCTCCCTGCTTTGCCAGGCTCTGCACGTCTTCAGTCTTCCTCATCCTCGACCCCTAGGCAGTAGAAACTCTATGCATCACATCCTCATAACAGCATCCAAAGGCAGGAAACGAAAGAGATGGAGGTATTTTCTCCTCATGCATATTTCTTTTATTAGGAAGAAACCTTTCCCAGGAGTCCTGCAACAGACTTTCTCTCAGCTCCTATTGGCCAGACCTCAGTCAAAGGCAAACCCCAACTGAATCCCTGATGAAAACAGAATGAGGTTGTGACATATATCCTTCATGTTTCATACCCTGTGCTGGTGAGAGGTGACAGCGTGCTGGCAGTCCTCACAGCCCTCGCTCGCTCTCGGCGCCTCCTCTGCCTGGGCTCCCAATTTGGCGGCACTTGAGGAGCCCCTCAGCCCACCGCTGCACTGTGGGAGCCCCTTTCTGGGCTGGCCGAGGCCGGAGACGGCTCCCTCAGCTTGCAGGGAGGTGTGGAGGGAGAGGCGCGAGCAGGAACTGGGGCGCTTGCAGGCCAGCTGGAGTTCCCGGCAGGCCCGGCACTGGGAGCAGCCGGCCCACCCTGCCGGCCCGGGCAATGAGGGGCTTAGCACCTGGGCCAGCGGCTGCAGAGGGTGTATTGGGTCCCCTAGCAGTGCCAGCCCACCGGCGCTGCGCTCGATTTCTCGCCTGGCCTTAGCTGCCTTCCCGCGGGGCAGGGCTCGGGACCTGCAGCCCGCCATGCCTGAGCCTCCCACCCACTCCGTGAGCTCCTGTGCGGCCCCAGCCTCCCTGACGAGCGCCACCCCCTGCTCCACGGCACCCAGCCCTATCGACCACCCAAGGGCTGAGGAGTGTGGGTGCAGGGCGTGGGACTGGCAGGCAGCTCCACCTGCAGCCCCGGTGCGGGATCCACTGGGTAAAGCCAGCTGGGCTCCTGAGTCTGGTGGGGAAGTGGAGAACCTTTATGTCTAGCTCGGGGATTGTAAATACACCAATCAGCACCCTGTGTCTAGCTCAGGGTTTGTAAACACACCAATCAGCACTCTGTGTCTAGCTCAGGGTTTGTGAACGCACCAATCGACACTCTGTATCTAGCTACTCTGGTGGGGCTTTGGAGAACCTTTATGTCTTCACTCTGTATCTAGCTAATATGGTGGGGAGGTGGAGAACCTTTGTGTCTAGCTCAGGGATTGTAAACGCACCAATCAGCGTCCTGTCAAAACAGACCGCTGGGCTCTACCAATCAGCAGGATGTGGGTGGGGCCAGATAAGAGAATAAAAGCAGGCTGCCCAAGCCAGCAGTGGCAACCCGCCGTGGTCCCCACTCCACGCTGTGGAAGCTTTGTTTTTTCACTCTTTGCAATAAATCTTGCTGCTGCTAACTTTTTGGGTCCACACTGTCTTTATGAGCTGTGACACTGACAGCGAAGGTCTGCAGCTTCACTCCTGAAGCCAACAAGACCACGAACCCACCGGGAGGAACTACCAATTCCAGACGCGCCGCCTTAAGAGCTGTAACACTCACCTCCAGGGTCCGCGACTTCACTCCTGAGCCAGCGAGACCACGAACCCACCAGAAGGAAGAAACTCCGAACACATCCGAACATCAGAAGGAACAAAAGTCCAGACGCGCCACCTTAAGAGCTGTAACACTCACCGCGAGGGTCTGCAGCTTCATTCTTGAAGTCAGTGAGACCAAGAACCCACCAATTCCGGACACACGGGGAGTAGGGCACATCTTTGCTTAGAACATTTTCCCCAAACTTGAACAAAATTAGGGTTCAGTAAGGAAATAAGAAGAGGAGGTTGGTTGTCGGTAGGTAACAAATAGCATATGTCTTAGTGTAATTTTACCAGTTTTTATTTCCTTTTGCTTAAGAGGTTCGCTGTAGACTGGTAACATATGGCACTGGGCTGCAAAGATGAGACTGTAATGGGATACAAAACACATTAACAAAACGCATGCTAAATTACAATGCTATGGTCGTGCTGCAAACGTAATGTTGTGAAATTATATTCCTGATTAGAAAGTATAAATTGTGCAATGCTATTTGGATGTTAGAGTGATTCATTGAGCTTAAAGACATAAAGCATAGAAAGCTCCCTAGTGCTAGCAATACCCATTTTTCATTGACCTATGTCCAACGAACCAAAAGAGAACCCATGTGGAATTCTCATACAAATGAGAACGTTAGTTAATATACCACCTACTATACATTGAAATCACGGCAGGTTTTCAACGGTTAGTGACACAGAAAATATTTGTCCAGGGACTGTTAGCAGTAGTTTTTTCCAAAGCAATATCCCCTGAATTAGAGCCAAGTACAACCAACAGTACAATCACCAAGGATCCTCTTCTCCAGTAATAAGCCCAGAGGTTCTGTTTAATAAAAATTATTACTCCTTTTGTAAAAATTCTACTCCTTATCACAAGGTTATACAAAAATAATTCATGGCTTCGAAAACATACCGTAAGTCAATTCCTTTGTCTCAACAAGATTTGGCAACTCCTGTTATAGACCTATAGAAGAGACCTGTGTTCCAATACCAACCCAATTCCAGTGAAGCAGTCAGACAGAGGCAAGGTTATAGCCAAACTCAATTCTATACGTCAGCAACAAAGCTGCGACATTTCAACACATAGAACGTCAAAGTCAAAGGTCTACTAAAACTTTTTCTAGGAATACAGTGGTCCATGGAAGAGAGGGTGGCCCTTCTAAAACCATACTGCTGTTTAGAACTTTATGACAAGATCTTGGTCTGAGAGAGTTCATGTCCTCTCTCCCCTGGGCTGCAAAGGTGAGACTTTAATGGATACAAAACACATTAACAAACTGCATGCTAAATTTTCTCTCTCCTCTAGCTTTGAAATGTCATGGAGTAATACTAACCACGTGTCATTAGGATTTTCTTTGACTTACCGCTTTTCCTAGATGGAGCCAAGAGGAGTGAAGGCTGGAATCCTTAAAACTCTGTGTTGAATTTCAATAGTGTCTTTCTTCCTAAACTTTAGTTGGAGAGTGAGGATCAAAGGATTCCAAAAAGGCAGAGTCTTCTCACTACACAGGGTTTAATTGTGTGTCTGAAAGTGAAGAAAGCAATTCTTAAAGAGCTTATAATGTTGTTTTTTTTTCTTTTTGCACAAAACCAAAGGAAAAAAAGACAATAAAGAGAAGTACTCAGAACACACCTAAATAGAAAAGAAATATTTTTAATTGCAGTGAAAATTGTCTTCAATGGCAAGTAAAGCAACCTTAAAATGAGAAATAAACAAACAATGTTGAGGTGACCTAAACCTATCCATGTCGTGTCAGTTTGAACCCCTAATGACTGTATTGTTTGCAATGAACATTCTAACATTGCATTGTCCTAGCAAATTTGAATTATGATCTTAATCAATTAATCAATATTTATTTATTGAATGTTCAGCATTAGCCTTGATTCTGTGTTAAGGGTTAAAGAGACTATAAAATGCAAAGCCTATTTCAAGGAGTTTACACTATTGTTGAGAAGATGACTATTATACTTAAATCAGTAGGGCACAAATGCAGATACCATATAATTTAAATGCTAAAATTGCATGCAATCTAAAATATACACACTTTTATACATTTGTAGTATTTTATTTTCATCTACCTTCCTCTTTTGACTCTCTGGACATGCAATTCCTTCCCATGACCTTAACAATTGATCTTTTTAATGTGAGTAAATTGCCAAGCCTAATGTGCTGCAGATTTTGTCTAAAGCTGGCGTTTGTGACATTCTCTGACTGCCTTTACAAAGTCCAAAATAAAACTAAGCCAAAGTACTCCCAAACTTTTTATACTGTGAATACTTTCTTTTTGCTTTAGAATTGTTTGGAATTACTCCTAAGGAAAAAAAAACAGACTTTAGTGAAGTTGAAGAATTAATTGGGCTTTCTGCAGTTCTGTCAATACACGGGAAAGCTTCTGTCTATCCAGATCCTGCCAGAAAATAACAAAAGGTTTTCACTGACATGCAAAGCAAGAGTTCATTTAATTTTTCAGAATTCTATTTTTCAACTCTGTGTTCATTAGTTGAGTTTGTCTTCTTTGTCCTTAATTATGTTGTCTTATGTGCTGCAAGCTTTATATTTTAAAAACATATATAATTAATTACAAAATTAAATATTTGTGCTTAACTGGAGGATGGAGAGAAGTGGCTTATTATGATCCTGTAAAAAGAAAAACCAAAGTAACTATGATGTTCAAATATCCAAGAAAATAATACATGCTTAAAAAGCGAAGTATCTAGCTATAATTATTTTCTTTTCCATCCAAGAATTAACCAGCTAACTAAATATAGCTTTTACTAAATCAATTCTACATCATACATAAACTTTAATGTGAAAATCTTACCAAACAAAAATCTTCCACTTAGAACCTATTCAAAATATTGACAAAAGATTTTCTTTCTGAAACTGAGAAATTTGAATTAGAGATGCTATGTAACAATGAAACGTTAACTTAATGAGTCTATTATGCCATCGATAGACAAATATGTAGAAAATGTTTTTAATCTCATAGAAAGAAAATGGTCTTGGTATCCCTTATTTCTTCCCATCTTATTGTGAAATAATATTTTATGAGGCTAATTGTTCAACAACTGCTATCTTATCTGTGAAAGGAAATTGCTTTTTTAAAAAAGTAGGCCAAATAAAATAGGCCAACTTGTTTATGAACAAAGTATTTTAATCCACTCACTCATAGTTCTTGGCTTTTGACAAGAAGTCTCTGACATCTGAAATGGAAATATTCACTGTATAATTACACAACTTTAACATGTATATATATATATATTCATGCTAAAAATTTTAGATGAGCTTATTTGAATAGTGTAGGCCATCCATTAAAATTGAGAAACTTATTCAGTTGGATTTGTTATTCCTAAACATATCCTCATATGACATTGGAACTGTTTCCTGCCACGTATTGGCATATAGTTTTAAAGTTACAAAATTTTTTCTTCTGGCCACTAATTTAAACAAGTCTCCAGTAGAACAAAGGTAACTTATACTCTGCATCATGTTCACTAAAAACTCAATTATAAAGAGATTACAATGTACGGCTGATAAATGATGTAATTTGATAAGCAATTTTTAATGCTATGCTTTAAGATAACAAAGGAAAATTTATAAAAATGTTAGTTTGAGAAGTAGGAATTTTCAGATGAATTGAAGTTTTTCTATATAAAAACTATGTAGCCCAATCTTTTCATTTTGAACTTTCCTGTAGGCCTCAAAAGACAAAAAATGGTTTCCCAAGAGGACTATATTTTTAGTCATCAAAATGTTATCATCATTACTGAGACATTTATATTGGGACATGTAATTAACATTCAATGTAGTATAACAAATCCCATAGTCTTAATGCTTTATTCATTTATTTCTTACCATTATTTGGGTAACTATAGCTATCAAAATATTATAAAATAATATATGTAATAATAAATTCTAGCTACAATTATGACGGATAATAAGCAACCACTAACATATCAATGGCTTACAAAAACAAACATTATTGTTTTTCCATTTATAAATATGTAGGGTGGCTGCAGATCCTCTAATTTCAGCTGGGCTTACCAGGCAGGACTCGGCTAGGCTCGACTAAACTCCAGGCCTGGGACTGGGTTCAAACCTGTTCCACCTGTCTTCATCACTCTGGGACTAGAGGCTACTCAAGCATATTTTTCTCACGGAGCAGAAACACAAGAACTCAAGCCTAACCACATTGGCACATTGAAACTCCTGCTCATTCTCTGGCCATTCACATTGGTCACATGGCCAAGCCCAACATCAATAAAGTGCGGAAATATATTTCATCTACCCTAGTAAGAAGGAGATAATACCAAATCACTTTGCAAAAGGGTGTGCAATTCTAGAACAAGAAAAGAATGAAGAATTGGGGACAATAATATTCTACAATATTTTTTGCAATACATCATAGTAGACATTTATTACTTTTAATTTCATAAATATACTTGCACACTTTGAGGAATAAGCTCATGATAATTAAGGTAAAATAATCTACTTGTAATAATAATTTAAAGTTGAAAATTTAGCCAGAATTTATGCCAGTTTATATTATGCCAGTTTAGGTTAAACATACATTTAAAAATTAATTGGATTCTTAACATATGAGTGCATTTAAATTATATCTCCCAGAACAAACCAAATGAATATGATAACATCATTTGAAAAATTATTTAATGACGGCACTGTTTGAATAGTGTACCTTTTCCTCTTGATGATTGGAAATAACATTTTTCCTAGCATAACTTTAGGGCAAAGAGCAGACAGTAATAGAAATCTAACATTTTTCTTACATGTTAACAAAAAATATTTTCTAACATGATTATATGATGTTCTACCAGAAAATTGTGTTACATAGTAGATCTAATGTCAATAGAAACTCAAATACGCTGGAATGTAAAGTCTATAACTATTTCAGCACCCTCACCAAGTGTGGCTACTTCTCTGAGCACCCACCTCCAGGGCTAACTGAGAACTATAAATAATCCATTTGATTCTTGACATTACTGCCCAGAGTGGTGAGAAATGAAAAGGCTGTGACATGTTTTTTTATTCTGATTTTGTCTTTGTTTTTGGTGCCTGTTTTTATTGCATGAATTTTTAAATGTTGAAATGTGTTATTTAAGAATCACCCTAAGTCATATTAAAGTATAATGGCTAAAAGAAAAACCAAAGATCTTTTTTAGTACTTCTCTACTTAAAAATCTTCAATGACTCCCAAGTTACCTACAGAAAGTAGTTTTCAGCCATTTAGCTTTCTAACTTTATCAACCCTATTCTCTTATCCTCCAGCCAAATTAAGCCATTCCCTGTTTCTAAAACTTGTCCAAGGCTAGCCCACCTTTTTAATTTTTTTCTGGCTGTTTCCTCTATAAGACACTTCCTTCCCAATTATCCACAGCCCTGCTGACCTCCAAACATTTACTTCTATTAAGAACTCAGAACTTTCCTCACAAACTTTTTCTCATAACCCCAAGACTATGAGTTCCCATTGTCTCACCCCATCCCTACTTCTGGTGGTACTTAAAATAGTCTACCTTTTGTGTAATTTGTCAATAGTCATTTATTAAGTACCTGCTGTGTGTCAGGAGATTGTTCTTGCTCTTTATAAGCTCAGTCTATTTTGCATGTTTGCTCTATTGTAACAAAGCATAAGCTCCCTGAGATCAGACTGTCTTGTTCATTTTTCTCTTCTCTGTGAGGGGCTAGCATATTCACTTACACACAGTAGGAGCTCAATAAATATTTACATGAAGAAATAGTAATGTGGAGGAAAGTCTCAGTAATTTTTATTCATTTGGTCGATGACTTCTCACAAAATGATATAAAATATGACTTTAGACTTCAGCAAAAGCACCTGGATCATAGACACTCAATAAACTGTAGCAGGGTCATTAGAGGTAATTGGATCTATTTGAGCCAGAAAAAGACTGTGCTGTTTGCCTCGAGGCATTTAAAATTAAAGCTAGAACCTTATTTGTATGAAATAGCTTGAGTGTGGGTATGCATAACAGCTGCAACTTCTCAAGACTATTACAGTTCTATAGTAAGAATTTTCAATATTCAAACAGTAAACAATAAACTGAAAAAAAGATATAGATACTCTAACCTGTAACACTTTATTTATATAATTAGACATCTCCAAATTAATCAACTAATTTTAGTTGCATAAAATAATAAAGCTGCTAAAATTTTGTATTTTTAATGTTTTTATCCTCTTTGATCTTTTTCTATCTTCCTTAAGTACAACTTTTATATGCCATTAATTGCTCAAAAACATAAAGTAGCCCATTATTTCTTTATAGGCATGAGAGTCTAAAGCTAGAATAGACTGGAAATCATTGAGTTTTATCTGCTAATTTTACTCAGAATCAACTGAGGCCCATAGAAGTCATTACTGAAGTCTCATAACCTATCAGAAATTAAACTGTGACTGGAATCCAGGTCTCCTGACATAATGTTCTTCCTGCTTCACCATCTTATACATTTTTAAACTCTTTGTTTTTCAAGATCTCTACGATGACACTTCATTATTAAAGTTACTTAAACTTACTTCCTAACTCTCCTCCCAAAACAAATCTTCACTCAGGATGACTACCTTCTATCATACCTACTCTTGTCATGAAAATTATTTCCTTAAATTCCTTCCACCCAAACTCAAAGACTGTCCTCCTTTGTGAAATAGACTCTGTTTTGCCAACTCACAATGGTATTTCCAGTTTTTTAAAAAAGTATTCTGTATTACATGTACAAAACTCTGATAGCTAAGGTGCTAGATGGAAAGACTGTTCTCAAGAAGTTTAAAATAGAGTTGGGGAGATTAAACATGTTCACATAAATTAGGCAAAAGATTACGAATGTTGCAAGATGGACACAATGGACAGTAGAATCACAAAGAAGAGAAAGATCAATTTTAGTTAAGGACATCAAGTGAGGCTTAATATGTAGGTGGTATCTGTATTTAAAGATGGTAAAAATTCTAGAAAGAAGGAAAGACAATCGAAGACAAAAACATTGCACAGAGGCAAGAGTGGGAAAGTGCAGATGGAAAGCAGCAAGTATCAAAATTGGCAGCGCATTAGAGTTTGTTAAGCAGTGTGGTAGACTTTGTCATAAAAAGTATTAATTTCCAAGAGAAGATGTTTGGGCTTCATTTTCTAAGAAATGTGAACTTGTTGAGAGTATTTGAGCAAGGCAATTTTCTGATCAGAGTTCCGCTTTGGAAGAATAAGCCAGATGGAGTCTATAGAATGAATGAAAAAGGACATAGCTCATGCCAAATAGACTAGTTGGGAAAGGAATGCTATAGTGGAAGGAAGAGTTAATGCGGGCCTGGGGTAGAGTTGGAAGTGGAAAATAAAATATGGGTTCAAATGTGCACCAAAACTAGAATAGAGTCAGTAGGAATTGATACCTGATTGGATATGGGGAACAGAGAGTGGAGAAACAGTTAAGAGGGGTAGCTATAAAAAAAGAAAGAAGAAACAGAAGGACAAGGAAGTATTTAAGGGAAAATTCTTACGATCTTTTTGAAGCATACTGAGTTCTAAATTAAATTCACAACATATGTACTATAATATGTACCACAAATCAACATGCATATTTATTTATTTATTTATTTTTGAGATAAGGTTTCACTCTGTCACCTATGCTGGAGTCCAGTGGCATGATCATGGCTCACTGCAGCCTTGACTTCCTGGGCTCAAGTGATCCTCCAGCCTCAGCCTCCTGAGTAGCTGGAACTACAGGCACATGCCACCATGCATGGCTATTTTTAAATTTTTTTAATTTTTAATTTTTGAGACAGAGTCTCACTCTGCTGCCCAGGCTGGAGTACAGAGTTAAGATCTTGGCTCACTGCAACCTCCACCTCCCAGGTTCAAGCGATTCTCATGCGTCAGCCTCCCGAGTAGCTGGGATTACAGGCATGTGCCACCATGCCTGGCTAATTTTTGTATTTTTAGGAGACAGGGTTTCACCATGTTGGCCAGGCTGGTGTCGAACTGCTGACCTCAAGTGATCCACCTACCTCATTCTCCAAAAGTGGTGGGATTACAGGCGTGAAGGACCACACCTGGCCATTTTTAATTTTTTTGTAGAGACAGGGTCTTGCTATGTTGCCCAAGCTGGACTCAAACTCCTGGCCTCAAGCAATTCCCCTGCCTCAGCCTCCCAAACTGCTGGAATCACAGGCATGAGCCACTGGGCCTGGCCTCAACATGTATATTTAGATATAGTAGCAATTTAATGCTTACTTACACGCTGACATACATTAATTCAACTATTTCCATCTTGACGCCTCAATGATACCAGATACTTCTGGAGGGAGGGAAAAAAAAGGAGTAGGGGAATGAGTTGGGATGTAGAAAACTCCTATTACATTCCACATTCAGGCACAGTACAATTGCTACTATTTCCGTTTTACAGATAAGGAAGCTAAAACTTAAAAATATCACATTACTGGAGATAATAACATTGTGTCCCCAGTCTTACTGACTTCTGAATTTATGAACTTTTTTTTTTACCTTCTATCAATGGGTAGAGACTTTTTTTTTTTTTTTTTACCTTCTATCAATGAGTAGAGGCTTTTTTTTTTTTTTAACCTTCCATCAATTGGTAGAGGCTCGGAGAAGCAGATTTTAGCTAAGTAGAAGGGAAAAAATAACTTTTAACAATTTCAGCTGTGAAATTCAGGAAAAGAACTGAGACAGGGAAGCTTTAATGTGCTTAAGAAGGTATGCAATCTGTAAGCAAAGAAAATCACAAAAGTTTTCATCCTGAATTATCTCAAGATAACAACTGATAGGTGACAATGATATGTAGAAGCAAACGTAAATACTACAGCTTTTTCTTCTTCTTCGTGCTGGTGTACAGTTTTTAAACAGCTGCTTTTTGCTTTTTTTCAGACTCAACTAGATTTTTTTTTCACAATTTTGTTTGAATTTCATGTATATATGTGGGAGCATCTGTTGTAGTTAAAACTATGTTTTTCTTAAATGCAAAAGCAATTATCAATTCAGGAATTAACTTCTAATGAAGATTTCAGAAAATAATTTCTTTGTCAAAGATTTCTACCTGTTTCTCCATGAATCTCTAATTTCTTTCTTTTTTTTGAGATGGAGATATCTTAATTTCATAGATTATTAGTGGAATGAATAAACGAAAATATGTTCTGTCAAGAACAAGAATGTGAAAAGTGAAGGTTTTTTTGACATTAGGAAACCAAGCTCCATTGTACTTGCATGCACCAATTCTCTCTGAGCTAGTTACGAAATATAATGTAAACTAACATTTCAACTTTAAAGCCAAAGTATAAATTCAGGTCTCATCTTTTTGCATAACTACATCCCATTTGTGAAGAATACTCTCTCACAAATAGGCAGACTAACCTGAGTACAAACGATCCAATGGTCCTGCTAAAATCTGGACAAAACAAAAAAAGGAAAATAACAAAATCCACAAAGAAATTCTACTATTGCCTTCTCGTTAAAGTTGTTTACTTGATTTTCCTTTCATCAGTGAAAGGGTGGGTGGGGTTTTATAAAAGAATTAATGTTCATTTAATTTTATTATTATGTATGGAAAAATATTATGCAAAGTGGGTATGATTTCCACATGGTGTTCATTAACTGTATGTAGATCAGGTCCAAATTGTGATAGCTTGAAATATAGAAACAACTTAGTACAATATACAAAGGGTATCCAGTGCAAAATGAAAGAAAGTATTTTGGTCAATAACCAAGTGCTTTTCAATAGCTAGCGCCCTTGCAAAAATCCACAACAAGATGGGAGGAAGTAGCAAGATTTGAAGGATTAAGAAATAAATTAGAGGGTTGGGCACAGTGGCTCACACTCTAAATCCCAGCACTTTGGGAGGCCGAGGCAGGTGGATCACCTGAGATCAGGAGTTCAAGACCAGCCTGGCCAACATGGTGAAACCCCATCTCTACTAAAAACATACAAAAATTAAGCGGGCATGATGGTGGACACCTGTAGTCCCAGCTACTCAGGAGGCTGAGCTACGAGAATCACTTTAACGTGGGAGGGGGAGATTGCAGTGAGCCGAGACCACCACTGCACTCCAGCCTGGGCAACAGAGTGAGACTCTGTCTCAAAAAAAAAAAAAAAAAAAAGAAAAAAAAAGAAAAAGAAAAGAAAAGAAATTAGAGATTCATGGAGAAACAGGTAGAAACCTTTGGCCAACATTCGGTCCAAGAATAGATCTTAAACTCCCTAAGAGTTCACCAGATTGTTTTCTGAGGAAACCTATGTCTAAAGTAAGACTTATTCACCTGGCTCCTGAAGTTTATCACCACAACAGCTCAGGCTGGGCAGATGGGTGATTGGGAATTCTGGATCTTACATCTTCATAGATCTCTCTTACCTTGCACCAGAGTTCATAGTACATAGGATCAAGGCCAAAGACCTTGAAGGACTGGATCTAATGTTGCCAGCTGGCTCTGGGAGGACATATAGAGGGCAGGACAGAAACTTACCATTTTCAGTAAGTGTCATGGTCTGCATCAGGAAAGACTGATATGTCTACATGTGAGATAAATGCTGTCCAACAGAATATCCCTATTTTTGAATGGGAGAAACTGAGGCTGACAGAGTCTAAGAAATCTTCCCAATGCAATCTTGCGTTCAGACTCCAGAGTTCATAATCTTTTCACTATATCAAGAAGTTGTGATATTCCCTAGGCAGGTCAAAGATTTTTTTAAGAAAATGTTTTCATATTAGGATTCATCTTTAAATTTCTAATTTGGTTTACTCTTGGGGTGACTATATACATCATAAAATTAGCCTCTGATTTTCTGCTATCACTTAAACTTTATTTTAGTTCCTCTTGATATCTCTGCCTAAAAGTAGACAAAATAGTTTTAATAGCAATACAACTTTTCCCTGAGTGATTCTTTCCCATAAAATCTCAGCAGTCAGTTAATTAGTATAAATTCTAATCCTCCTTGACCAAGTCTTCAAAAGAAAAAAATCAATTTAGCAAACTATTTACATTTTGAAATTGACAATAATACAAAAACACAAAATCAGACACACACAAAGACAAATATGGAAAAGTCCTCAGACATTAGACAAGACAACTGCAGAATAAAAATTTAAATAATAAGCAATTATTAAAACATTTTCAAAAGACCATGATACTAGGCTAAATATTACTACACAAATGCAAAACAGGTCTGAGCAGACATTTTGAACTCGGACAGCTTTCTTCTGACCATTTCTAAATACACATACCAAAATTAGGAAGAGTCCATTTGGTGTGAAACAATCTGATCAACTGTGATTAGAGCATACTATTTAGAAAAATGTCCTGCTTTGCCTTTAAGTTATTAACATGAACACACACACACACACAGAAATACATATACAAATGTCAAATACGAATCACCTTTTTAATATGAAAACAATCACTCAAAATCTTCTGTGCATGTGATTCTATATATTTGTGTAACTTGGAGAATGCTGTGCTAGGTATCCGCGGCCTTTGATTCGAAGCTCAAATTTACTACTTACTAAGAGGATGACTGGAGAAGTTAGTGATACTCCTGTGCCTCAGTTTTCTTATCTATAAAATAAAGGAGTTGGCCTGGATGGCTTCTGCAGTCATTTCCAGCTGTATAATTACACATGATTCTCCAACAACTGGGATGAGAAAATCTACGTGGCTGTATTGAATTGCCTTTGTCCTTGGTCCTGAACAGCTTCGGACTTTGGGGCTGATTCATTATGGCCAGGAAGAAACACTTCCATTTCAATTTCTAAGATAATCATGGCCGAGGTTAACCCTTTCAGATTAATGTTAATTTTCTTATTTTTCTTAGGCCTCTATATTTGTTAGCCCAGGACTTTCTTGTAATTAGATGTCATTCTTTTGATTAATTCTGTATTTGCTTGAGGAAAGTACCTATTCTTAGCCCCTAGATTATTTCTAACATGTGCACTTCCTGCCCTATCTATGCTTTTTCTTGTGTTTTTATGTCCTTTCCTTGCACCTAAGTAGTACTTTACTTTAGCTGATAATTTTCTTTAATTTTCTTTGTCTGATCTTGCACTTCAAAATTCACCAATTCTCTCCCAATAATATACAGAATGATGCACTTGTAGCTCTATTTCTGATTCAGGCTAGAAACATTTTGTGTCAAATATAGCAAATCCTCTTGTTATTGCATATACTTGTTTCCAAACATCTATAATTTTCCCTAAAATAATGTGAATTAGAATTCCATTATAAAATATGTTCCAAAGTTTTAATTTTCAAGATGAACAAGAATAGACAGGCTCTACTTATTTAACTTAAAGATATGTCATTTGCTATAACTCAAAATTAGAAAAGTATAGTCAGATAACTGCTGCAGATGTACAAGTCCTTTAGGTAAAATGTAAATTCAGTTGTAAGGTGACTAAATTCAAAGGTTCAAATGGCTGACCCAGGTGGTAATTAATGAATCTGTTTTTCACACTTAAAAAAAATGTTTGTATCTTAAATGTTTTAATCGGTAAAAGGAATATATAAATGAGTAAAAATACTTTATATATTTTTTCTTTTTTTCGGTATATCATCTAGAGGTTTTCTCCAGCCCTGAAAGAAAAGGGGTGGCTGGAAGAGTAAGTCCTTAGAGTATAAAAGTTTTAAATAGGAACTAATTATCATAACTAAAAGTCTCTGATTTCTCCACTGATTCATTCTAAATAACTCTACATTTAATTTATTTCATAATGTCTAAAATAGAGTTCCAAGCTGCTGACACTAAACAAGGACCCAGCAAGAGAATAGAGGATAAGAAACTAGCTCTGTTTCAGGGAATGCTTAAATTAACAAAACCATACAATGAGCACAGACATAGCAATTATTGCCACAATATGATTGTGCCATTATGTTTCTACTTTCCACACACACTTCAGAAGAAGTCATTTTAGTTCTTTTCTAAGTTCTTTTACCCTTCGAGGCTTTTCTTCGGGAGTCTAGAGGTACAAAGTAAAAGGAACATTAACATCCTCAAGAAAGATTTCTCCAGTCTCCCAAATGAATACATCATGAAGGCTTAAATACATCAATAGTTAAGTCCATAAAACGTGTCCCTGTTTGCAGATGACATGATTGTATCTTTAGAAAACCCCATTGTCTCAGCCCAAAATCTCCTTAAACTGATAGGCAACTTCAGCAGTCTCAGGATACAAAATCAATGTACAAAAATCACAAGCATTCTTATACACCAATAACAGACAAACAGAGAGCCAAATCATGAGTGAACTCCCATTCAAAATTGCTTCAAAGAGAATAAAATACTTAGGAATCCAACTTACAAGGTATGTGAAGGACCTCTTCAAGGAGAACTACAAACCACTGCTCAATGGAATAAAAGAGGATACAAACAAATGGAAGAACATTCCATGCTCATAGGTAGGAAGAATCAATATCATGAAAATGGCCATACTGCCCAAGGTAATTTATAGATTCAATGCCATCCCCATCAAGCTACCAATGACTTTCTTCACAGAATTGGAAAAAACTACTTTAAAGTTCATATGGAACCAAAAAAGAGCCCACATCACCAAGTCAATCCTAAGCCAAAAGAACAAAGCCAGAGGCATCATGCTACCTGACTTCAAACTATACTACAAGGCTACAGTAACCAAAACAGCATGGTATTGGTACCAAAACAGAGATATAGATCAATGGAACAGAACAGAGCCCTCAGAAATAATGCCACGTATCTACAACCATTTGATCCTTTGACAAACCTGACAAAAACAAACAATGGGGAAAGGATTCCCTATTTAATAAATGGTGCTGGGAAAACTGGCTAGCCATATGCAGAAAGCCAAAACTGGATCCCTTCCTTGCACCTTATACCAAAATTAATTCAAGATGGATTAAAGACTTACATGTTAAACCTAAAACCATAAAAACCCTAGAAGAAAACCTAGGCAATACTATTCAGGACATAGGCATGGGCAAGGACTTCATGTCTAAAACACCAAAAGCAATGGCAACAAAAGCCAAAATTGTCAAATGGGATCTAATTAAACTAAAAAGCTTCTGCACAGCAAAAGAAACTACCATCAGAGTGAATAGGCAACCTACAAAATGGGAGAAAATTTTTGCAACCTACTCATCTGACAAAGGGCTAATATCCAGAATCTACAATGAACTCAAACAAATTTACAAGAAAAAAACAAACAACCCCATCAAAAAGTGGGCGAAGAACATGAACAGACACTTCTCAAAAGAAGACATTTATGCAGCCAAAAAAAACACATGAAAAAATGTTCATCATCACTGGCCATCAGAGAAATGCAAATCAAAACCACAATGAGATACCATCTCACACCAGTTAGAATGGCGATCATTAAAAAGTCAGGAAACAACAGGTGCTAGAGAGGCTGTGGAGAAATAGGAACACTTTTACACTGTTGGTGGGACTGTAACTAGTTCAACCATTGTGGAAGTCAGTGTGGCGATTCCTCAGGGATCTAGAACTAGAAATACCATTTGACCCAGCCATCCCATTACTGGGTATATACCCAAAGGATTGTAAATCATGCTGCTATAAAGACACATGCACACGTATGTTTATTGCATCACTATTCACAATAGCAAAGACTTGGAACCAAACCAAATGTCCAACAACGATAGACTGGATTAAGAAAATGTGGCACATATACACCATGGAATACTATGCAGCCATAAAAGATGAGTTCATGTCCTTTGTAGGGACATGGTTGAAACTGGAAACAATCATTCTCTGCAAACTATCGCAAGGACAAAAAAAACAAACACTGAATGTTCTCACTTATAGGTGGGAATTGAACAATGAGAACACATGGACACAGGAAGGGGAACATCACACTCCGGGGACTGTTGTGGGGTGGGGGGAGGGGGGAGGGGGGAGGGATAGCATTAGGAGATATACTTAATGCTAAATGACGAGTTAATGGGTGCAGCACACCAACATGGCACATGTATACATATGTAACAAACCTGCACATTGTGCACATGTACCCTAAAACTTAAAGTATAAGAATAATAAAAAAAAAGTTGTCCCAAATTTTAGTGTTTTTATAGAGTCTAGTGGATATCTAAATATTTCTACTTGCTATATGAGAAAGTAAAGGCAGATAAACTTTCTTGGACAGCTTTTGAAAGTGATATAAATAGTCAAAATCATTCCCAGCGGGGTGCGGTGGCTCATGCCTGTTATCCCAGCACTTCGGGAGGCCAAGGCAGGCAGATCAACTGAGGTCAGGAGTTCGAGACCAGCCTGACAAACATGGTGAAACCCCGTCTCTATTAAAAATACAAAATTAGCCGGGCATAGTGGCGCATGCCTGTAATCCCAGCTACTTGGGAGGCTGAGGCAGGAGAATCGCTTAAACCCAGGAGGTGGAGGTTGCAGTGGGCCAAGATTGCACCATTGGACTCCAGCCTGGGCAAAAAGAGCGAAACTCCATCTAAAAAAAAAAAAAAAAAATCCCCCCCCACAAGTAATCTTTAAAAAAACTATTGATTTTGTAATTTACATTTGCATTGTATAATTCATGGTTATTTTGATTAGCTAATAGTTTGCAATGTATTAAATTTATAATATGAAGTTGTGATTCTTTACTATGTATATATAGCTTATTGCATATTGGGTTCTTTCTAATAATTACTGTGATTAATAAGTATATCTATACCTATATTGTACCCTTCACAACAAAATTGCAATATCATACATTTTTCTAGAGTTTCATGGCTGTTAGATGTGAATTTTTTATTCACTAAAAAATATTTACTCAGAGTCTGGTATATGCTGGTGCCAGTGATAAGGCAATGAACAAATCCTGGTTTTAACGCTTATTACTGAGAAATAATATCCATACTTCATTGGAAATGGTTATTTTTTCTTTAATATGCTATGTAAAAATGTTCTGCAGTGAAACACAGTGACTTTTTGTTGTTTAATTATGATAAGGCAATTTTGAAAATAGACACTCCATTACTAATGCTAAACATTCTCATGACCAATTACCTTCATATCATCTTGTCAGTTAGCCGCATCGAAAATCCAGTTTCCTCATTACTAATAATGCTTTAATTTTATTGCTCTAATTTTATGCATGATGACAATGGAAAATTCTACACAAATTGTTGAATCTTGCAGTTCCACAAGGTGGTTCATCTCTCTACTCTACTGTGGCTGGATTGTTCATTTAGCTCATCTCCTTCTACTGTATCCTCTTGTCCCCCTGACATTTGCTATTACTTTTTTCCACCCTCTGCCCCATAACCAACTTTCCTGGTAAACCCGATTCCAGAGTCCCTTTGTGACATCCTGAAAAAGAAAAAAAACACTTTGTGAAATATGGTTTAATAGCATGCCCTTGCTGCTTATATAAAGACACGCTGTATGGAAAATAATGCTGCATTTTTCTGTGATATATTGTCATATTGTAACATCATTGACAAGGGTCTATACTTTGTTATAATGCTCAATCTTTTTCACATAAAGCATCTAATATTAAATTTCTCTATGAGAACATCAACTAGAAAAATGTTCATTATTATGAACTGGGGATTTTCCTATTATTAAGCACTGAGAGTTCTATGATCAACCACATTTTTTCTTGACAGGCCAGAAGCCAGTCTTAGCTTAATGAAACCTCAAGTCTTTATAATTTGGGGAGCTGTGTTTAGGAAAATAAAACTTCAAAATTATGAATACAAAATTAGTTACAAGGCTGTGGAAGAGCCTCATCAAAGTTCAGGGCTTTGAAGCGTAAGCTTTATGAGCTACATGGTGTATTCACTTCTGCTTAGAACTAAGTTTTATGCTACTATTTTCCCCCCTCACCACTTCTCAATGCATCGGTTACCCTCTTGTTCTTACACAATTGGGATCTTATTGGTTGGTTGACTGAAATTTTTGAAAAACATGGAAATTACAAAATATTATATATACATAAACAAGAATATCCTTTAAACTTCAAACATAAATATACATTTATTTGTCAGTCTTTTAGTTGATATTCAAGCCTTTTTTCTTCAGATAGGAAATTAATTGGAAGTTATTTCATAGATATTTTTCTGCTTAATTTCCCCTTTTAATCTTTTACAATTTGATTTTTCTTTCTTAATTTTGGACTAATGGTCTTGCATTCCCTCCCTATGCTTTTACTATAAGCCACCTCAAAATTATTTAAAATACATGGCTTAATGACCACCTTATGACTATTTATACATAGATTCTCTATTTTGAAGATTACTGAGGAAAATGTTGGAATGCATGGCTGATTATCTTGGACCTTTCTGAATTGCTTCATTTTGTCATATTTGGCATATGCTATATAAATAAAATTTAACTTCACCCTACTTAAAACATATGACAAGATTTTTATTTTAAATAATTGTGGACTGTCTACATTGCTTCAACTTTCTAAAATCCTAAATAGGTGATAACTGAATATGTATAAGGTATCATTTCTTATACACACAGATTATTTTAGTATACTAAAAACTAATAAAGGTGGATAGGTGGGTGGGTTTTTTTAAATAATCAGGTAAAAGCAGAAATGAGTCAATATTCCAACATAACATTTGTGTTGTAGTTAGCATATGCTTTTAAATTTGCATAGGAACAAACTGTAGAAATATTAATAGCCACTGCCAATCTGTTTTTTCACACAACAATGAACAGAATATAGAAACTGGTACTTCCATATGACCTTGGGGTATGGAGGTTTAAGAACCAACATTAGTGCACAGATGTGTACTATCCTTTGAAATCTGTATCTAATCTTCTAGGCTCAGTTTTAGCATCAAGTGTTATCATTTAAAACAAAAACAGTTGTTACTTTCATCTGTGCAGCATAACAGAAGAATTTTAATCAAAGTAAGACACATACTCTGAAAGAAATCACTGTTTACCCTTCCATGAAAAAACTAAATTTTGATACCTTACTTCAAATTTCAGTTGTTTTTTGTTTGTTTGTTTGTTTTTTGTTTTGAGACAGAGTCTCTCTGTTGCCCAGGGTGGAGTGCAGTGGGATGATCTCGGCTCACTGCAACCTCCACCTCCCGGGTTCAAGCAATTCTCCTGCCTCAGCCTCCCAAATAGCTGGGATTACAGGCACCCGCCACCACAACCAGCTAATTTTTGTATTTTTAGTAGAGATGGGGTTTCACCATGTTGGCCAGGCTGGTCTCCTACTCCCAACCTCAGATGATCCACCCACCTTGGCCTCTCAAAGTGTTGGAATTACAGGCGTGAGCCACTGCGCCCGGCCTCAGTTGTTAAATAAATAAATTTCACACAACTTAGGTTAAGTCATCCAAGATGAAGTCACTACATTTCTTTTTTTTTTCTTTTTTTTTGAAGACCGAGTCTCAGTGGCGCGATCTCAGCATACAGCACCCTCCACCTTCCTGGGTTCCAGTGATTCTCCTGCCTCAGCCTCCCCAGCAGCTGGGATTATAGGCACACACTGCCATGCCCAGATAATTTTTTTTTGTATTTTTTTAGCAGAGACAGGTTTTCACCCTGTTGCCCAGACTGGTCTCGAAATCCTGAGGTCAGGTAATCTGCCCACCTTGGCCTCCCAAAGTGCTGGGATTACAGGCATGAGTGACTGTGCCCAGCACATTTCTTAACAACCAAAAGATTGTTTGCTTCATAGTGTGTACCTTACTATGGGTTATAGTAATTTGCAAAATCCATTAATACATTTTATGTTATGCCACTTTGCAGACAAAAAAAATCATGTATTACTTGGATGAGAGAGAAAAATTAAATATTTAAAAAATATTTTCTGAGGGCAAGTATTAGTAAAGGTCATTATGAAAATACTGCCTAAATCAATAGGACTTATAAAACTATAAAATTAATGATTATGAGTTCTTTTAGAATTAACAATCATAGGTTCTTTTCTGTACATAACATGATTGTGCATCATTATGAGCTACAGGTTTTGAAAGTTGGTCATTGTTTACTTTTTGAATGTTTTAATGAAAATGATGCAGGATTAGAAGTGAAAGCCTTATGTTATACTACCTCCCCCCAATCCTCAGCAAATTTTCATGTTGAAGCTGTAATCCTCATTGTCATGGCATTAAGAGGTGAGGCTTTGGGAGGTAATTAGATCATGAGGGTGGAGACCTCATAATGGGATTGGTGTCCTTACACATATTTACAAAAAAAAAAAAGGCAAGAGAGAGATGATCCCTTTCTCTCTGCCATGTGGAAATACAGCAGAAAAAGGGTTCTCACCAGGATCTGAATCAGCCTGCATCTTGATCTTGCACTTCTCAGTCTCCAGAACTGTGAGAAATAAATGTTTGCTGTTCAAGCCACCCAGCCTACGGTATTAGTTATAGCAGCTCAAAATGACTACGACATCACTATTGAGTGGCTATGAATATTTGTGTCCTTAGGTGTGGAAAGTAGAAAATAAATGGGAAGTAGTTTGAAATACACTAAAATTTGGCAAGTAGTAATAGGCTCATCTGGGTCTTCTCCACTTGTAGAATCAGATGACAATTAGAAAATATTAAGAAACATTTTTAAGTACTGCTTTTCATAGTAAAGTTCAAACATAGGTAACTCATCATCCTTGGGAGGTACCACATAGTAAAAATACAAAAGAATTCATGCAATATTTAGTTATGTGATGAATGATAGTACACAAATGGATTATTGCACAAAATGAAGAAGTTTGAAGGAAGTACATTTCTGATTAAAGCAAGGAGAGCAACCATAACTTGGTGTCCCTGTCAGAGAAAGAATTTTGCACAGATGAAGAGTAATTTTTCTCTATTGTTTCTTTTTAAATTATGACAATATAACAGTTCTCACCCCCATGCCTATGTCCTGAATGGTAATGCCTAGGTTTTCTTCTAGGGTTTTTATGGTTTTAGGTCTAACATTTAAGTCTTTAATCCATCTTGAATTACAAGATGAAAATGAATAATCTAAAGAAATACTAATTTCAGTGCACATAAGTTATAACTCATTTACAAAACAATTCATTCTAGTTCTTCACTCTCAGAAATTTAGTTATAATTACATGTATATTTAAAATGAAGTTAAACACGTTTTAAAAATAAAGTTTAAGATATTGCATTCATTGTGAGTGCTTGCTTCGTAGTGACTACTCAAGTATTGACTTCGTAAATCATGGATCCAATTTTAGAATCTAAATTTCTATGAAACAAAATTGATAGCCCATTCCCGACAAGGATAGATATGCCATTCAAGACTATAAAAGTAATTTTTAAGTGTCAGTTTACATTTTCCAATTTATTTTTTGAATTGTCACAAATTTTTCATTTGTAATTCTTGTTGTGTGCGTCATCCAGGATAGGGTTGGTTATGCTGTGGTAACAAACAACCCTGAAAGTCTCAGTGGATAGCACAAACGTTTGTTGTTTTGTTCACTCTATATTTCCAGTGCAGATCGCTTGAGGGTCTTGCTGTTCAGTGTTTTTGAGAAACCAGGCTGATGGATAGTATACGCACAATCTAGAGTATTGTCAATCACTGTGGAAGCCGGAAAGGCAGTTCATGAGGGATCTTACTCCGACAGTTTAATGCTAAGGCCCAGGAGTGACCCATGTTACTTTTGTTCATGACTCCATGGGTCAGAACTAGTTATATCGACTCACCTACGTAAACCAAACAAACAAAAAAATAAACCAGGAGAGAAAAATTCTAGTAGGTAGCCAAAGACCAGAAATATTTGCTGAACAGCACTGAGGATTTCTACACTGTACTATAGCACCAACCTTACTATTTTAAAGACAACTAGTGTTGATTGAATAATTCATTTAGTGTTGACCTCTTTGAAACACATCCATCACTAAAAAGTAGTATTAACAGGTCACTTTTCCTGACTTAGCAGAGTAAAAGAAACCACCTCCTGCTGGAATGTCTTGCTAACATTGCGGTGCACTTCAAAAGCCTTCTACTAATTGTAAGGTTGGATTAAAACTGGTATTTTAAGTGGCTAAGTGATGTCAGTGACAAAAACACTTCAGCAAGAGTAGTCAGCTATTGCTAAGCAGTCAGCTCTACTGGGAAACAAAAGTCTGGAGAAGGGAATAGCAAGTATTATATATTGTTATCGTTGTTTTAAATTGAGAATGATCTCAGCCTTAAAAGATGTTTTACCAAGACGTTGTTGAAAACTTAGCCATGTTAATGTCAGCCATTCTGCTAGAATGCCTTTTGTCTGGCTGCTACTAGAAAATGTATAAATAACAAATAAACAGACTGAAGTCTTAAAGATTGAAATAATTTCCCCTTAAGGTTATGAAAGAAATGGATTTTAGGGATAACTTTAAAAATACAGTATTGTGTTAACTTCAAGAATATTATCTGCATGGAAGGAACTAACAGCAGAGTTTGGCAGGATGCCTTAAGTTAACTTCCCCTTTTCTTTAGAATGAGAATAAATTTTGAAAATGAAATAGTGTTTTGAGGATCAAATGGCAAAGCTTTTAGTGGATGTTGCTTTTGATATGTTCTTATCTATGACATGTTGATCTTAGACAACAGGCCATAGATCCAAGAAATATTAAATTAAATAATATTTGCAGAAATATTCCAAACTTTGCTAATTGGAAGTAGCAAATATTACTACTTTAAAGTAGTATTTGGAAGTTAGAATGACATAAAATATTTTTATAATTTTTTTTAGTGCTATGTAATCATAAAATAAGAACTTAAAGAAAATATCACTATCTTTTGAAATACAATAACCTAATAATTATTTTTGTCATTAAACAAAAATACTAACAGCTAATGCTTCTTGGATGTTTACCATGTGCCAGACACTAGCACTATGAAATTTAAGTGTATTCCAGAATTATATTTTGACAACAATCTATTGGTGTAGGTATTATTGCTATCAGCATTTCACAAATGAAGGCATTGAGACACAATCTGGTTCCAAAATGTTTGTACTGACATTCTTTTGAGGATATGGGCTTTGGAGACAAAGAAACTGATATTCAAATCTTGCTCTGCCATTTAGTAAAAGTGTCAGCCACTTTCAACAAGTTACTGAACCTCTGTAAACATGAATTTCTTTATTTGCAAAACTCACAAGCTTTTGGTGAGAGAAAGTATAACTAGGAATGGAAATCACTTTGCATATTGTCTTTCTCCAGTGTCCAAAACATATCAGCAAATTTTATTATTCTTATATTGTTATTGTTATTATTAGATACAAAGAAAACATTTAGCACAATCTCAGGAATACAGTAGATGCTTAATAAATATTAGTTTTTAAAAATTTATCTTCAAAATTCATAATAGTCTGAATAGATAAGAGACAACCCCATAAGTGAAATGAAATCTGACTGTGATAGAATCCACAGGACTCTGAGAATGTGTCTGTGAGTGACCTCGAAATGAAAACCGTGGCACTATTTTTAACCCTGTTTCTAAATTTAACTGTGTCATAGTCTCATATCAGTCCTCTTATTGCCAGGGAGTTTGGTGTTCATTTAATATACACTGGGAACATTTCTCAGAGCATCAGCTTTCAAATCTTGGCAGTGAAACAGTTTCAATGACTATTCATATTTCCTATGTAGTAGAATTTAATAACAGATCTGTGGATTGGAGAAGGGAAGTGGGTAGGGTATCAGGGTATGAAAGATTTGTGACAGCTCTGATAAATTCCTTTCCTCCTTTCAAAAGCAAAAATCGCAAATCCCTTTTAAATTACTGAGAACATTACAACTGAATGCTCGCACTCTTTAAATCCAAGCATCATCAATGACTATTAAAATGAATGTAGTGCTAAAGTATATTTGAGATTCAGTGCTCTAAGAAAAAGTTCACTGGGAACCAGAAGATGCTCTTGCACTGTCTGATTAAGGATATCTGTATGAAAAACTAAATGATGCATCAACTTTGCAAGCTCAAATCAATTTAATTGATTTGTGTGTATTATTATCCTATTTGTTATGTTTATGTTTTCAATTGTCAAAAGCAGGATTTGCCAACTAAGGGCTGTGTTACATATACGGTAGTTAGAGGATGCTGAGTCTAATCATTAATCTATATCATATGGTGCTGGCCAAGAACATTAGTCTTCAGCAATGGAAAAGTAACAGTTTACAGAGTAGGTCTGCTGAGACATTAGCTCAGCAAATCCTGGAGGCTAATATACAGGTGATGTTACAATCCAAGGGCTAGGTTAGTTTCCAGAGTTTTCCAGTAAAATTCCAAAAGTTGACTGACGGTAAGCTGGCCCCTATTATGTTAGCCTAGCAAGTTGAAAAGTGATGTCAAAACAATTTCATCTGAATTAACTACTATTTGGGGCTAATTGCCATTAAAATTAATTTTTCTAAAAAGCTCTGTGTGATCTTTCTTCCTTCTTATAAGAAGTAGCCACGCATGGGCCGGGCGCGGTGGCTCACGCCTGTAATCCCAGCACTTTGGGAGGCCGAGGAGGGTGGATCACGAGGTCAGGAGATGGAGACCATCCTGGCAAACACGGTGAAACCCCGTCTCTACTAAAAATACATAAAAAATTAGCCGGGCGTGGTGGCAGGCACCTGTAGTCCCAGCTACTCGGGAGGCTGAGGCAGGAGAATGGCATGAACCCGGGAGGCAGAGCTTGCAGTGAGCCGAGATTGCGCCACTGCACTCCAGCCTGGGCAACAGAGCGAGACTCTGTCTCAAAAAACAAAACAAAACAAAACAAAACAAAAGTAGCCACCATATTAAATTGTTTTTTTCTTTAACATTTGTACTAAGCATCTTGTTGGAATAAAAAACTTAAATTACAAAATTTAATGATGGTATTTATTCCTTTATTGATGCTAACACATTTGAAATTTAAAGTTTGCATCTGTATAGGGGATTTTAAAACTTTTTTTGGTGTTATGTCTTTGATAAACATGAGAAAAAGAGAACATATATACCAAACTATTATGGATAACAAGCATTTTGATTAAAAAAAAAACAAAGTAACAACCTTATATTGGTTGACAAAGGCTGATTACAAAGAATATTTTATTTGCTAATATTCCTAAACTTTGTTTCACTGGGCGAGATAAATCAATTGAAACAACAAATAAAATTAAGGGCTTCACTTCTAAAAAATGTTATTATAATACTTAGCACACTTATATAAGTATACTTAGTACTTATATAACACTTAGTAGTGAAGAAGCCAATGAGAAGTAATCCTCCCATCTTCCCTAGGCTGAAGTGTAGTGATACAATCATGGCTGACTGCAGCCTTGACCTCACAGGCTCAGGTGATCCTCTCAACTCAACCTCCCGAGTAGGTGGGACTACAGGCGTGTGCCACCACACCTGGCTAACTTTTGTATATTTTATAGAGACAGGGTTTCACCATGTTGCCCAGGCTGGTCTTGAACTCCTGGGCTCAAGCAAAGCTCCCACCTCGGCCTCCCAAAGTCCTGGGATTATAGGCATGAGCCATCACACCTGACCCCTCATTTCCTACCTAAAACATTCTGGGAGATGAATATGTGATATGACGAGAAGCCCATTCTTCCAGTGAGAAAAATTAGGGTTACAAGTATATACAAAAATGGAATCCTGCTCTCCTGGTCAGGAAGTGATATCCATACAGGGTGATGTTGCTAATTTGAAAAACAGAAAAAAGTAAATGAACTGCAAGCAAGCAGCTGATCCATGGTCCAACAGGAGTTATGGCCAGCAAAGCAGTCACCAGCCACATGCACAGTGAGGCAAAGACCATGCCTCATGCATTGGAGTATCATGCATTGCAACCAAAGGGAGGACATTAGGGATAATGGACAGCAGGTGCCACCATTCTCTTCTTGGTGTTCTGCATCCCGAACAGAGTCTTTATTTTTTTTAAGGCTTATAATCAGTGTTTAATCTAATCTGACTGGAAAAAAGCAAGTTGTTTTCCCCTGGACTCAATTCCTCTGCCCGATTCTGGAGCTTTCTGCAGTATGTGAAACAAATATTTTAAGAAACTCGCCATTGTTTTTCAGAAAAAAATATACACAAATAACCAAGAATCTACTAGGGTAAGCCATTTGTCAGCTATAGTATACCTTACTGAAAGTGACTTTTGAATAATAGTAACTTGTAATGTTACACTGCATTGTAAGGAACATTTGTGGTATCGCAGTATAGAAGGATTTTTTTGGTGAATAGTTCTTGTTTTGTGTTCATCAAAAGATTAGTTTTTTTCAAAACTTATTTTTTTAAACAAAAAGCTCTTCTTCCTTCCTCTGAAATTCTCAAGCACCACTGGACATATTTTGATTATTTTTGGTGCCACCAGTTTGATAGTTTTTTCTTTAGGCACAATTCACTGACATACACGGCTTGAGACGAAAAAGGAATCTGCAAGAATTTCCCAAGACATTCATATATAGCATGTCTTAGAATTTTCATTTTCATTTGGCATTTTCCCACTCAACTAATTACATTATCACTCAATGTAAACTTTAAAAAGAAAGTTCTCAGTTAAAAAAAAGTGTTGAATTTCTTCTGCCTAACGACATAGATATTCCTATCATCTTTAAATAGAAGAAAAGTATATTTGTGCTTTTACATATCTGCAAATCATGTGTTTTTTCTCTCTTCTTCACTCTCTTTCTCCTTCACTCTTTGCATGTCTCTCCCCTCCCACCTCTCTTCCTTCCAACCCAAACCCATATCTCAACTTCCATCTGTCTCTGTCTCTATCTCTGTCTCTTCAATGACTTGTTTCTGTAGCATACAGGGTCTTTACTAACCTATGCAATGATAATTGATGCTGCAAAGTTTATTATCCTTTTCTAGGTTGTTGCTATCCATGGAGGTTTTTGGCATTTTATAATTCTCCATCAGACATACCTATTATGTAAATTTCTCATCTCTTTCTCAGGCTATAACTTATGCAGAAAGTCTGCCAAATACAAAAGTTGGCCAATTGTAACGCGATTTGAAAATGTGGTAATGAGCCCATGCTATCAGCGTATATTTATAAGCAAATACTCTATTTCATCAATCTAAGATGTCGTTGATTAAAAGGCACACCATTATGTGTACTACTAAGAAAGAAAACGTGTTTCTAATTAAATTGGACAAAACATGAATTGTACCACGCATTCCAATTTCACGGATGAAAAATGTGGAGAAGGGGAGCACCGCAGAACTGATATAATGTGGTTAGCTTATATACATTTATGTGCCTTTTCCCCTTCTATTACTTTTAGTGTAACTATCAAGATCATTATATTTAATTTACTGCCTTTTTTTCCTCTCTACTTTTTTTCAAGTCAAATATATGTGCAAGTAACTCTGCTAATTCTGCCTTGATTTTAGTATGTAGCTTAAGGCCTGTGTTTGGGTTCCCTCCAACCTATGTCATAGAATTGGGCACCATTTACACCTGCGGAGTTAATCTCATTCATTCTGCATTTACTTGGCCAGTGACACGGAACAACAGATATCAGCGAAGCTAGCATATGGGTTCAATATCTTGGAACCACTCTGTTTTTCCAGGTTAAAAGGATTATCCCAAAAATACCTATCAATTTTAAACACATTTGGACTACTTCCACAAAATTGTGGAGGAGGAAAATTCTTCAGTGTCATCTCTCTTTCTGATGAACAATTTTCTTCATATTCCAAAGTAGCAAAGATTAGAGGGTGCCCTATTATTCTAGGTGAAGACCACAGCCCTTACTAATAGCTGTGTGTTCTTTCTCTCATCTTCTGAGGGATAGTAGTTCAGCAATTAGCAAATCTGATAATATAATCCTTCCAATTGGCCAAAGAAAGGGAAGTAGTACTCTGTCCCCAGGAAAAAAAAATGACATGCACTTAACACTGGTTTTTTGGAAGGCAATTAATATTTTTAATCTTTAATTATGGAAGCCAGGTGAGTGTGGGTAGAGGCAGGGCAGTTTTAGAACAAATAGCAAGAAAAAGAAGTTATGACAGGTTACCAGGTAAGATATTTGGGGAAAGGTGGGCCTTATATCTGTCCACAGTATATAGTTAGAACTCTAATCCAGTAATGCCAAGAACCAGCCCAGATTTGGGGAATGCATTTGCTTAATCTCAAAATGTTTATAATAGTCATACAGTAGATGATGGGGAAAAAGTCATTTATTGTTTATTCATTCATTTAATACTTTTTAGCATTTAATATCAACCTGGCCTGTGATCAGTTAGGAATATAGAAATAAAATAGATTTGATTTCTGCCCTCATGGAGTTTATAATATAGCAGAGAATACAGACATTAAGTAGATACTTATGTGTTATAGGTATTATAAAGGGTATGCAAAAGATGCTGTAGAACCTTGCCTAGTGTTTGGCAGTGGTCAAGGAGATGACATCTTATTTAAGACCTGAAAGATGGGTACATATTAGCTAGGGAAAAGTAGGGAATGGTTTAGAGTTTCCAAGCTCAGGAAAGAATCAGTCCATTGGAGGTCCCATACTACTACTACTAGCTCTCTAGCCTATGGGCTAAAGCTGAAAAAGATTAAACATGAATAAAACACAGAGAGGGAAATGCATAAGGGGTAAGCTTGAAGATACTGGTGGGGACTGTCCACGCTGTGGGAAACCATTTCTTCCTAAGCCATTTAAGACTTGGAATCAACCCAAATGTCCAACAATGATAGACTGGATTAAGAAAATGTGGCACATATACACCATGGAATACTATGCAGCCATAAAAAATGATGAGTTCATGTCCTTTGTAGGGACATGGATGAAGCTGGAAACCATAATTCTCAGCAAACTATCGCAAGGACAAAAAAACCAAACACTGCATGTTCTCACTCATAGGTGGGAATTGAACAATGAGAACACATGGACACAGGAAGGGGAACATCACACACCGGGGCCTGTTGTGAGGTGGGGGTAGGGGGGAGGGATAGCATTAGGAGATATACCTAATGTTAAATGATGAGTTAATGGGTGCAGCACAACAACATGGCACATGTATACATATGTAACAAACCTGCACGTTGTGCACATGTACCCTAAAACTTAAAGTATAATTAAAAAAAAAAAAGAAATGTGGACTTAATTCTAAGAGAAATGGAAAGCTATTAATGTGATTAAACACATGTTTTTCATTTAGGTTTTATTTTTTATAATGGTCTACCTGGAGAGTATAGAATTGATTAGAAAAGAGATGAGTTGTATACAGTAGGCTACTAGACGGCCATTGCAGTAGTCCAGGTGAGATAATGATGATGGGAATCAGAGCAGGGTGGCTGGCAGTAGAGCTGGGAAAAGTGGATAAGCCTGAGAGTTATTTGGAAGTAGAATTATTAAGATTTATGTGGGCTATTAAAAAAGGAGTCATGGATGCTTTTTCTCTCTTGAGCAACTGAGTACATGGCTGATACGATTTGGTGTGTTCCCCCCCAAATCTTACCTTGAATTGCAATTTCTGTAATCCCCACATGTCGTGGGAAGAACCCAGTAGGAGGTAATTTAATCATGGGGGCAGTTATCTCCATGCTGTTCTCATGATAGTGCATGAGTTCTCATGAGATCTGATGGTTTTACAAGGGGATTTCCCTCTTTGCTTGTCACTTCTCCTTCTTGCCACCATGTGAAAAAGGACGTGTTGGCTTCCCCTTCTGCCATGATTATAGTGTTAAGGGTGGGTCTTTGTCCTTAGAACTCCCAAGATGGTGGTGGCTGCTTCCAAGATGGCAGCAAGCCTTTTGTTCTCTGACCTGGGGTTCTTGGCCTCACAGATTCCAAGGAATGGAACCTTGGGCCATGCGGTCAGTGTTCTAGCTCTATTAGAAGCTGTGGGTCATGAAAGAGAATCGTGGAATCCAGCGAATAGTATTCAGCTTGCTTAGGATGAACCCAGGCACTTAGCCATGCAGGAACAATGGCAAGCCTTTAGCCCAATCGGGAGCGGCAATGGGCACCTCACTGGATCAGGAGCGCCTATGATCCTCTGCTGGATCCAGAGGGGTGGAAGTCAGCAGTGGGTCTGCCACGCAGCAAACAACAATGGTGGATGGTGAGCAAAAGCTCAGCTTGAGCCGGAACAGACACAGACCAGAAGAGTGTGTAGTTGCAAGATTTAATAGAGTGAAAACAGAGCTCCCATACAATGGGAGGGGACCCAAAGGGGGTTGCCCACTCCCGGCTCAAATGCCTGGGGTTCATATCCCAATCATTGTCCCTCCCCCTGTGCTCTCAGATGATAGATGATTTGACTATTTCTTTACCTCCTGCTTTTAGCCTAATTTGTATTTTAGTGAGCCCTCTTTACTACCTGATTGGTCGGGTGTGAGCTGAGTTACAAGTCCCATGTATAAAGGTGGGTGCAGTCATCTTCTCAGCTAGGCTTAGGAATTCTTAGTCGGCCTAGAAAATCCAGCTAGTCCTTTCTCTCAGTTTCCTGAGGCCTCTCCAGCCACGCTGAACTGTGAGTCAATTAAACCTCTTTCCTTTATAAATTACCCAGTTTGGGGCAGTTGTTTATAACAGCATGAGAACAGACTAATACAGTAAATTGGTACTGGGAGTGGGATGCTACTGTAAGGATAGCCAAAAATGTGAAAGCAACTTTAGAACTGGGTAACAGGAAGAGGCTGAAACAGTTTGGAGGGCTCAGAAGAAGACAGAAAAATGTGGGAAAGTTTGGAACTTCCTAGAGGTTTGAAGGGCTCAGAAGACAGGAAGATGTGAGAAAGTTTGGAACTTCCTAAAGACTTGTTGAATGGCTTTGAGCAAAATGCTGATAGTGATATGGACAATGAAGACCAGGTGGAGGTGGTCTCAGAGGGAGATGAGGAACTTGTTGGGAACTGGAGTAAAGGTCACTCTCCAGGTGGAGGTGGTCTCAGAGGGAGACGAGGAACTTGTTGGAAACTGGAGTAAAGGTCACTCTCCAGGTGGAGGTGGTCTCAGAGGGAGATGAGGAACTTGTTGGGAACTGGAGTAAAGGTCACTCTTACTCTGCTTTAACAAAAGACTGACAGTATTTTGCCCCTGCCCCAGAGATCTGTGGAGCTTTGAACTTGAGAGAGATGATTTAGGATATCTAGTGGAAGAAATTTCTAAGTAGCAAAGTATTCAAGAGGAAGCAGAGCATAAAAGTTTGAAAAATTTGCAGCCTGAAGATGCAATGGAAAGGAAAAACCCGTTTTCTGAGGAGAAATTCAAGCTGGCTGCAGAAATTTGCATAAGTAATGAGGAACCAAATGTTAATTGCCAAGACAATGGGAAAAATGTCTCCAACCTTCCAGGCAACCCCTCCTACCACAGGCCCAGATATCTAGGAGGAAAAACTGTTTCCACAGGCTGTGTCCAGGACCCCCATGCTGTGCGCAGCCTTGGATTTGATGCTCTGCATCCCAGCCACTCTAGCAATGGCTAAAAGGGGCCAAAGTACAGCTCAGGCCATTGCTTCAGAGGATATGAGCCCCCAGCCTTGGCAGCTTCCACATGACTACATGTGTCCTACAGCTATGCAGAAGACAAGAATTGAGGTTTGGGAACCTCCACCTACATTTCAGAGGATGTATGGAAATGCCTGGATGTCCAGGCAGAGGTGTGCTGCAGGGGCAGAGCCCTCATGGAGAACCTTTGCTAGGGCAGTGCAGAAGGGAAATGTGGAGTTGGAGTCCCCACACAGAGTCCCCACTGGGGCACTCTCTAGTGGAGCTGTGAGAAGAGGGCACCGTCCTCCAGACCCCAGAATGGTAGATACAATGACAGCTTGCACTGTGTGCCTGGAAAAGCCACAGACACTCAATGCCAGCCCATGAAAGCAGCCCAGGAGGGAGGCTGTACCCTGCAAAGCCACAGTGGTAGAGCTTCCCAAAGCCATGAAAGCCCACCTCTTGCATCACCATGACCTGGCTGTGAGACATGGAGTCAAAGGAGATCATTTTGGTACTTTAAAGTTTAATGGCTGCCCTATTGGATTTTGGACTTTCATGGGGTCTGTAGCCCCTTTGCTTTGGCCAATTTCTCCCACTTGGAATGGGGGTATTTACCCAATGCCTGTACCCCCATTGTATCTAGGAAGTAACTAACTTGCTTTTGATTTTACAGACTCATAAGTGGAAGGGACTTGCCTTCTCTTAGATGAGACTTTGGACTTGGACTTTTTGGTTAATGCTGGAATGAGCTAAGAATCTGGGGGACTGTTGGAAAGGCATGATTATGTTTTGAAATGTGAGGACATGGCTGGGTGTGGTGGCTCATGCCTGTGATTCCAGCACTTTGGGAGGCCGAGGTGGGTGGATCACCAGAGGTCAGGAGTTCAAGATCAGCCCGGCCAACATGGTGAAACCTTGTCTCTACTAAAAATACAAAAATTAGCTGGATGTGGTGGCAGGTGCCTGTAATCTCTGCTACTCAGGAGGCTGAGGCAGGAGAATCACTTGAACCCGGGAGGCAGTGGTTGCGGTGAGCAGAGATCACGCCATTGCACTCTGTCCTGGGCAACAGAGTGAGACTCCATCTCGAAAAAAAAAAAGAAATGTGAGGACTTGATATTTGGGAGGGGCCAAGGATGGCATGATATGATTTGGCTGTGTCCCCACCCAAATCTCATATTGAATTATAGTTCCCATAATCCCCATGTGTTGTGGGAGGGACTCGGTGGGAGGTAATTTAATAATGGGTGCAGTTACCTCATGCTGATTTCATGATAGTGAGTGAGTTCTCACGAGATCTGATGGCTTTATGAGGGGCATTTCCCTCTTTGCTTGGCCCTTCTCCTTCTTGCCACCATGTGAAGAAGGATGTGTTTGCTTCCCCTTCTGCCATGATTGTAACTTTCCTAAGGCCTCTCCAGCCATGCTGAACTGTAAGTCAATTAAACCTCTTTCCTTTATAAATTACCCAGTTTCAGGCAGTTCTTTGTAGCAGTGTGAGAACAGACTAATACAGTGGTATACCATCTGAAAAAAAATTAAAAGCAGGAAAAACAAAGAAAAAAGGGAAGAAATTCCAGATCTCTGACATTTAAGGATAAGTTAGGAAAGAAAGAGGTGACAGAAGAGATGAACAAGAAGGTACAGTCAAATCAGGAAAAGGAAAATCCAGAAAACTTTTTATTAAAGAAACTAAGGGCAGAGTTTTTGGGGTGAGGGTCAGTGTTGTCATATACTGCTGAAAAAAAATTTAAGCTAGATGAAAACTGGGATTGTATTACTACAGCTATTGTCGTGGACCTCATGGGGGTTTCATGGGGAACTCACTTGCCAGTTTTGGCAGTGATTTTAGGCAAAAACCACTGAGAATGAGTTGGAATGAAACTATAGACTATAAATTCATTTAAGAAGCTTTACAGTGAAAGGGAAGATGTGAAACATGTTTACACGCATATGGAAAGGAGCCAGATGGAGGAGAGTGTGTGTCAGTCTAGCTTTTTTTGAAAGCAAGTAGTAAAGGATCACTTCAAACTAGTCTAGGTAAAAAGAAGAAATTTCTCAACAGTATGCAAAGGAATCTCAACAAACCCAAGGTCAGAGGTCACAATTGGCCAGAATCCAATTCACTGATTAACTTACCAAATGTGCTTGTTTAACTCTCGTTTTAGTTCGCCAGATGTTACTTTAATTACACAAAGTATTTTCAAGGATGTTTATTTTTTATCTCTGTTCTTATCTCTATTGCTGCAGTGGGAGACTGAAATACAAAGAAAGATTGAGGGGCCAAAAATGGTATAATCAAAAGAATAAATGTATTCTTTTGTAAATATATTTCTCTTATGAATATATTTTAATACATATAGTAACAAAGAATATATTCTTGATTCTTATTGAAAATGATATATAAATAGGAATATTTATATTCAAAATTAAGCTCTTACTAGTACAGCCTTCTCATACCTTTCATTCTGCATGCCCTTATCTTGGTGGTCAGCAATTATGAGAATCATGGGCACCCATGTGTAGGGTTGGGAACAGCAGGGATAGCAACTTGGTGAGGCACCTGGGCTACAGACAAATTTCTCCTCCTGATTCAGAAGTCAGGGACAGAAAGGAAGGAGTCTGGTGAAGTACTAATCTCAATTCTAAAAAATTCTAATTAGGGTGTGATATCTGTTACTATAACATCATAAGTCCTTTAATTTCTCCGTAACTGTGTGACCCAGAAAAAAGGAGAAATATATCTATTTTTCTCCTGCCTTTCAGGGCCAAATTTCTCAAGCAGATGTACGGATTTTAATAATAGCTAATATTTATTCAACTCTTACAACATGATAACCTTTTAATTTGTCTTTACAAGAACTCATGATGCAGTTGTTATTATACCATCCCCATTTGATTAGGACAGAAAGATTTAAAAATTTGCCCACAGTTGCCAGGGTTTTAAAAGATGAAACCAGTATTCAAACCGGGACAATCTGATTTCAGAACCCATTCTTTTCTTTTTTTTTTTTTTTTTTTTTTTTTGAGATGGAGTCTTGCTCTGTCACCCAGGCTGGAGTGCAGTGGCGCTATCTCAGTTTTCTGCAAACTTTGCCTCCCGGGTTCAAGCAATTCTCCTGCTTCAGCCTCTTGAGTAGCAGGGACTACAGGCATGTGCTACCGCACCCAGCTAATTTTTGTATTTTTAGTAGAGACTGGGTTTCACTATGTTGGCCAGGCTGGTCTCAAACTCCTGACCTCGTGATCCACCTGCCTCGGCCTCCCAAAGTGCTGGGATAACAGGCGTGAGCCACTGCCCCTGGCCAGAACCCATGCTCTTAAAAACTATCTTCCTTTTGAATAGTGTTAGTATAGCATCATTTTTGTATCTTTATATTTAAAGTAAATTCATTTTAAGTAGCATTGAGCTGGGTCTTCCTGTTTCATCCAATCTGACAAACATCATCAATAAAACTTATGAGACATTGATAATATCTCATAATTATCTACTGCTATTTCTTCACTACGCTGAATTTTTATTTCAGATATTATAGCATTCATCTCTAAAAGTTTGATTTTTTTCCTGTCTTCAATATTTCTACTTAACTTTTTAAACATATGGAAACCAGGTATAATAATTACGTCTTTGGATCTGCTAATTCTTACACCTCTGTCATTTTTAATTGACTCTCCTCAATGTGAGTTATATCTTCCTGTTTAATTGTAGGTCTGTAAATCTTTGATTAAATGCCATGCCTTGTGGATTTTATTTGTTGAGTAGATATTTTATATTTCAACAAATATTCTTAAACTTTGTAACTTATATGCAGTTAAGTTACATGGAATCAGGTCCTTTAGGGACTTTCTTTAAGATTTGTTTGGTGGGTTCAGAATATTACCCAGTCTGGAGCAAATTACTTTCAACTACTGAGACAAGACCTTTTTGAGTACTCTATCCAATCCTCCAGTCTGGCTGTAGGGAAGAGGTACTTTGTCTGGCCTTGTGTGAATGTTAAGCACTGTTCTCTTTAATTCTTTTGGATGGTTCTTTCACAGCTTCTGGCAGTTTCCTCAAATGAATACAGTGATCTGTACTATGATGAATACTTAGTGGGTACTTTCTGCATGACTCTAAGGTTATTTCTCTGTGAAGTTTTCTCGTTTCTGATAGTCTGTCCTATGAACTCTAGTTAGCTTGTTCTCTCTGAACTCTTAGCTTCCATCTCCTTAGGCCAGGCTCTCCCTATGTTCCTCTTCCCTGAACGGTAGCTTGAAATTCTCTCACTGTAGTAAGCTAAGACATTTACACAACTCACCTCATTTGTGTTCCACCCCCGGAAATCACAGTCTTTGGTTGTCTGATACCTTGATTTGATATTTTTGTTGTTGTTTTTTACGCAGTAGGATAAATCCTGTCCTTATTACTCCATCTTGGCTGAAAGCTGAAGTCTCAGCTGATCTTAATAATGGAAATGAGCTATAGGCAGGTCAAGACACTCTATATATAGGTCTTGGGTAGAAAATCCAGCTTATGGTAAAATACTGAATCAAAGTTTCTTCTACATACACATGCATATATATATATATATATATATATATATATATATATATAAATAAAATATATATTTTAATTTAATTACAATCCCATACTCTGGTGAAGTATCAGTTTTAATAAGCAAGAAATTTAATCCTAACTGTTCACTAAAGAAAGAACAAACAAACAGATACTGTAAGAGTATCTGCCATTTAATAAGTAGTGAGAACTTCACAGAAATGTGTACCTCAAATCCAGCCTCTGTGATCCTTTTATATGAGAGCTATTCTTAGATCTTACTGAATTTTCTGACTTCATCCTACTGAAGAAAAGTTTCAACCTTCCTCTGTCAAACATTTTTTTCTCTCAAAAGTACAGTGTAATTCTTTCAGGTACTCTTTCAGGTAAAATGATAAGCCGTCTCCTGAAATATTATCTTACCAATGAGAGTTAATTTGGTAGGTGTTTTTAAATGTAGGTTATGCAGGAATATCTGCAAAATTAGTTATCTCTAAAAAAGTTCTTGAAAGAAGTTTTGATATAGGTAAATTTATACCTAGATTGTTAGTTTTACGTAAGAACAGAATCTTTGGGGAAAAAAAACCTTTAATATTCAATATCAAGACCAATATCCTAGTTTTCACTGCATTCTCTTTGAGCACACTAAATATTTTCAAGTTTAAAAGGCATTATTACAACTGCTAATAATAAAAAAAATCTTAAACAAGTGGGAAATGTTTCTAGAAAAGAAGAAAACATTTTAATAAAAATAGGTGGAAGCAAACAGTGGAAGAATTAATTCAGACTGGAAAGTAACGTCAGATTGTTCAATGACTTAAGTGATTCAATGTTATGAAAATTTTGTATCAACTATTAAAATGAAATAACTGTTTAAAAAGATAGGTAGAATGAGTTCTTATTCGAAGTGTCTTAAGAATCAAATAGCCTAGGAATACAATTTCAACATGTGAAAAATAAGTTCTTAAAATTTAGGTCATTTACCTGTGATTTGCTATATTTCCTGCAGCTCAGCGCCTTAAACATTTTGGTATATCACCTAGAGACAGTCACTTTCTTTCACTGAAGATCAAGTTATCGGCAAAGTACAAAATGGTAATTAAAAATTTCTAGTTCAGTGCGAGGCACACATTGTTCTTTTAATGAATCAGATTATCTCAACTTTGTAAGGATTAATTAGGTACTTGTAGCAGTTCCTTTAAATTTCTCAGAACACTATGCCACCGGATAACTAAGTGGCAGCCTTGTAAACTCAAAAGAGTTAATAGAAACTCAGAAAATCCATTACACTTAATTCCGCAAGAAGAGAGAAATTTTTGATTAACTATGACATTATTAAAATATTATTGTATATTTTTCATTTAAATATTAACTAAGGTTTATGTAAGGACAAACTATCATTGGAAAAAGGGGGGAACTTAGTATTATAATATCTTTTGTTTAAGAAAAAATTATAGAAAAATACATGAAATAATATTTTTCTAAACCTGCATGTATTTTCTCCAAAATCGATAAATATTAAGATTTTGTCATAGTTAATATTATAGGTTAAAATATATTTTGGAATAATTTTCTATTTACAGAAAAGTTGGCAAGATAGCACAGAGTTCCCATATGCCCTTCACACAACTTTTTTTCTGCTAGCACCTTAATCATTTGTCAAAATGAAGAAACTGACATTGGAACAATACTATCAAGTAAACTATGGACTTTATTTATATTTCAACACTAACATTCTTCTCTTTCAGGATCCATTTCAGGACAGTGCTTCACATTTACTCATCATGCATCCTTAGTCTCCTTCAATCAGTGACATTTTCTGTCTTTTGTGTTTTTCATACACGAACATGACTTTTTTTTTTTTTGAGATGGGATCCCGCTCTGTTGCCAGGCTGGAGTGCAGTAGCACGATCTCGGCTCACTGCAACCTCCTCTGCCTCTCAGGTTCAAGCGATTCTCCTATGTCAGCCTCCCAAGTAGCTGGGACTACAGGTGCACGCCACAACACTGAGCTAATTTTTGTATCTTCGGTAGAGACGGGGTTTCACCATGTTGGCCAGGATGGTCTCAATCTCTTGACCTCGTGATCCACCCACCTCGGCTTCCCAAAGTGCTGGGATTACAGGTGTGAGCAACTGTGCCTGGCCGAACTTGACTATTTTTAAGAGTACTAGTTATGTGTTTTGCATAATCTCCCTCAGTCTGGTTTTGTCTGATATTGTCTCACACGGATCATGAGGTCAGGTGATCGAGACCAGCCTGGCTAACATGGTGAAACCCCGTCTCTACTAAAAAATACAAAAAATTAGCCGGGAGTGGTGGCACGCACCTGTAGTCCCAGCTACTCGGGTGGCTGAGGCAGGAGAATCGCTTCAATCTGGGAGGTGGAAGTTGCAGTGAGCGGAGATCATGCCATTGCACTCCAGCCTGGGCAACAGAGGGAGACTCTGTCTCAAAAAAAAAAAAAAAAAAAAAAAAGTATCAATGAACTTCAAGGGAGAATATCTCAGAGGCGAAATGTGTTTCTCATCACATCAAAGGTTATGTCATATCATGTCTTATCACTGGTGCTATTGACATTTGGTTAAGGTGAGTCTGACAGGTTTCTCCCCTATAAATTTACTGTTTTCCTATTTCCATATTCTATTATTTGAAAGCATATAACTAAGTCCAGCCCACAGTCAAGTGGAGGAGAATTAAGCTCCATCTCCTGAGCGGGGAGGCTCTATATAAATTTGGAATTTTTCTGTAATTGTTTTTCTTTCTCCCCAATTTACTGATGTGCTTAATCTATTATTTATATTAGGGTATACTCATAGATATTTACTTTACTCTCGAGGCTATAATCTAATACTACTGTTATTTATTTTGTTATTCAAATGATTTCTGCTTGGACCATGGGGACTCTTTTGGGTTGACTCTTGTGTTCATGCCCCATGTGTCCAAATGGAAGATATACATAAATATATATAAACACTTTTTAGTTTTACTTTCTGTCACTATAAAATCCAAACTCATCTCTCACTTTCCTTACCTCACCCTAGAGTTAGCCATTTCCTTTAATGGAATATGGTGTAAAGGGCTGGGCGCTGGGTATGCTTCTTTTCACTGTTTCGTCACTGCTTCTATACTGTCTCAGTAGACAGAGCTAAGAAATATTCGTACTATACAAACCCATGTACACACAGCCACACCTACCCACCCATCCACCTACATGCACACACATATTTCTGTATTTACCTATTTGTGTGTATGTGAGTTAATACAGCTATCTGATTCTAATTTAGCACCACAGGGTTTATAATATTTTTCTCCTATTGCTTATTTGTCATGTCCATCTTACTTGTTCAACTGTAGTATACTTGAAGAGTAGCTTCTGAATTCCTAGCCCATACCCCTGTGAAAACTAAATTTGCCAATTAGAATACAGTGTTTATGTACATTTCTTCTTGCTTTTAGCCTTCCAGTATCCAGTCAAAACACTGTTTTCCAAAGTTTACTTTGGTCAGCTTTTTTTTCTCCACTCCAGTGATAATATAGTTTTAAAGAGAATTCTCTTGAGCAAAACACTACTATAAGCTATGTGGAATTTAGAAATGTAATGTTCGAAAGTTGATTCTGGAGATGATTATGATTCATTTTTCACAGAAGCAGTATTCTAACACATTTTGATCTATCATAATTATAATTCATCTCAATATTATCAGAGCTGCTTGTCCTTTTAGCAGGCCAATTAGAGCACTACATCGAATCCTCCTATTGGGGTGAAGCAAGAGACGAGGAAGATTACTTGCTGTGACTTTTATTAGATATATTAATAGCTATAATAGGGCAACTCTGCTTTTCCCTCCTAAATTCACTGAGTTGCTTTGAGCTGGTACACTTCTACAGATTGTCTTACAATCACTGAGAACTCATTTCAAAAAGACTAAACACATGTATTAAGTTTGCTGAGGCTGCCAAACTACAGAAACATATTCTTTCATACTTCCGGAGGCCAAAAGTCAGAGACCAAAGTGCTATCAGTGCCACATTTCCTCTGGAAACTCTAGTGGAGAATCTGTTGTTTACCTCTTCTTGCTTCAGGTGCCTGTTGGCATTTCTTGACTTGTACCTGCACCCCTTCAATCTTTGATTGTCTCCTAGTCTTCTCTGTAACTGTCTCCTCTGCATGTCTCTTCTGTTGTCATTGGATTTAGACCACCCCAGATAATCCAAAATGATCTCATCTCCAGATCTTTAACTTAATTACATCTTTATACCAAATAAGGTAAGAATTTGACTCCATGGAGGCTTAAACAACAAGGTAACATTCATAGGTTCTAGAAATTAGAACTTGGATATATTTTGAGGGGATCATCATTCCAGCTACACAATAAGTGACAATAGTTGGAAGTGTCTTCTGATTAGTACATTGAATGAAGATTTAATCCATGGGCTTCATGACTTAAATTTTATGTGATAATTCACCGCCCCCCCCCCCCACCCAACACACACACACACACACACACACACATCGTCACCACCACATTTCTTGGATCTTTGCTTTATTCTGGATTGGTTGAGTTTGTCAGGGACCTGGGTTTCACTCAGGTAAAGTTAATAGATTCATAGTCTTTTAAATTTTGCTTGTCTGACTTTTGTCTTAAATACTTAGCAAACATGCTATTATCTTTCATATTCATCTTTCTGAGAGGCAGTATAAAACAGTTCTTAAGAGCATGCACTGTGCAAAAGATCTACCTGGGTTCAAATCCTGACTCCTGCTAGGTGCACCACTTTGCGCAATTTTCTTTGGCTCTGTACCTTTCTCATAGGATTTTACACATACATACACACATGCACATACACACACACACCTTTTTATGTTAAAATACACACACAAATACAACTTTATATTAAAATACACAAACACATACATAACTTCATATTAACACACACACACACATTTGAACAGTGCACAGATTGTAGAAGACACTGTGTATTATTAGCTTTTATTCTAAAGAGTCACTCTAGTCTCCTTCCAAAATAGCTTCTTCTTGATAAGCTCAGTTATCAAATCCATTCTTACATAATTTTATGCCTAAAATGTTTGCAAATATTTCAAATAAGGAACAACCAAGGAGTACTTAAAATTTCAGATATAAAATGATTACTAGAGATAACATAGAGGCATAAAGGAAGCCTGTTACTTTGAGTGAAATAAAAATTGCCAGTTTTTTCAGGTAGGTTTGAGATTCAGGGAAGTTGTTTCTATTCTAATGGAAAGGACTAGATGCTCAGAGGATTTGTCCTGACAGTTAGAGGCTTTCACCTTGAGGTTACTGGTTCTCATTCAATGTAGGACAAAAGTAATTGAAAATCATTATCATTTAAAAACTATTCAGTACCATCTCAGGAAAAGGCTGTTTGCTTTACTCTGGTTTTCGGGTGGCAAAAATCCCCATCACCCTGAACACTCGTCAGTTGGCCATCTAAGTAGAGATGTTAGAGGATGAATAGGTCTCAAGACGGAATGACAGTCTCTTTCCCCAGGGTTCTCTTGAGAAGCTGGGTAGGTGCTAAGAGGGGAAGGTTAGAGAGGAAGTTTAGGTGGTCACAACCTCTGCTGGATTAAGAAAATAAGTGGCTGTTAGTTTGTAGATGGGGAACCAACACTTACTAGGCATTAAATCTACCTTTCAATGGAGATTCTGAGATAGTTTCATGGCTAAATTTTACAAATAGCTTTATGAGGTATAATTTACATACATAAAATTCACCTGTTTTACATGTCTAATGGAATGATTTTTGGTAAATTTATAGAATTGTGTAACCACTGCCTTATCCAGTGTTAGATCTTTTCGTGGAGGAATGTGAAGGAATAAATACTCAAATTATTTAATTTCAAAGAAGTTAATACATTTGGGAAAGGGAGGGGAACAAAAGAGCAAGAGAGAGATAAATAATGGGATTAAAAATTATGATTACACCTTAAAATACAATTTTAATACAACTGTATAGGATTTGGAGCTGTCATTGTTGACATTTTATTTACAAAATGTTTCATATTGTGAAGACCTTAGTGGATCATATCACAGGTCTTTATATCATCATAATGCTTTAACATTATGCCATACGCACGGTAGGTACTTCAATATTTCATTTAGTATTTAATATTAAGTACTTAATATTAAATAAAGTTATCCATCCTCATAATTCCTCCATGTTTAAGTATTTCATATCCAGAATCACTGAATAAATTTAAATACTATTATAGGAAAATCTGAGTGTCTGTTATATATGCATTGCTGAAAAAGCCACATTTCCTTTTAAAGTAAGTTCATAGTCCATTAATAATAATAATAGCTGACACTTATATAGTATCTACAATATGCTGGGCACTATCCTAAGAACTTATTAAATTATTAAATATTCTTATTTAATCCTTATCACATTTTGCAGTTAAGAAAGCGAAGCCATAGGGAGATAAAGTAACTTGACAAGGTTACAAATGATGAAGCGCCAATCAGAATTTAGGCAGTCTGGATCCAGAGTCTTTGTTAACATCTAAGAACAACTTTCATTTACCAACCAGTTTTCTTATCCTTGCTAAATCAATGGTCCAGCGCTAATAAAGATTTTCACCAATTCCTTTATTGTTTTAACCATCCTCACTAGCTGAATTCCATGGCTAAGCATTTGTATGGCATGTTCACGAGTGCCAGAAGTTTCTCAGCCCTACTGACCTTCTGCTGTACTCATCCTGTGCATTTCTAACCCTAACTTCATTAAAATATTTATACTTGGTGCTTACATACTCAGTCTATTAAGCAATGCTGAACAAAATCTAACGGTACAGCCACACAGCACTATTTGAGGTGTTTGATGTCCAGTCTCAGCTGGGCTCTCCCCATTGCTCAGGAATCTTCTGTTTTGTTTTCTTTATCCTCTCCCACAGTGGCCATGCATAGCCACAGCCCAGACAGCCCACAGTGCACTAAAAACTGAAATAGGATAATATCTCAAATGCCTGGAAATGAAGAAAGAAGAGTGTTATCACTAAGGGGCAAAGGGGAGGGGGGCAAGAGAGGAGGAGACAGGAAGAGAGAGAGAGAGGGAGGAAGGGAGGGAGGGAGAGGGAGAGAGAGAGAGAGAGAGAAAAGAAGAGAAGGACAAGGCTACTATCACCTACACTGTGCCATTGTGTGGAATAGAAAAAGGTGCCTTCTCTTGGTTAACACATTTTTTTTTCTTTTGTGAGATGAAGTCTTGCTCTGTTGCCCAGGCTGGTGTGCAGTGGCATGTTCTTAGCTCACTGCAACCTCTGCCTCCTGGGTTCAAGCGATTCTCCTGCCTCAGCCTCCAGAGTAGCTGGGAGTACAGGCGCGTGCTACCATGCCTGGTTTTTTTGTATTTTTTTTTTTTTTTTTTTTTTATTTTTTTTATTTATTTTTTTTTTTTTGAGACGGAGTCTCGCTCTGTCGCCCAGGCCGGACTGCGGACTGCAGTGGCGCAATCTCGGCTCACTGCAAGCTCCGCTTCCCGGGTTCACGCCATTCTCCTGCCTCAGCCTCCCGAGTAGCTGGGACTACAGGCGCCCGCCACTGCGCCCGGCTAATTTTTTGTATTTTTAGTAGAGACGGGGTTTCACCTTGTTAGCCAGGATGGTCTCGATCTCCTGACCTCGTGATCTGCCCACCTCGGCCTCCCAAAGTGCTGGGATTACAGGCGTGAGCCACCGCGCCTGGCAGGTTAATACACTTCTAAGGAATTCATGTCTTGAGAAGCAGGATGCACTTCTGTGGTGGAGCAAGGGAAGGCTCCTCTCTGAGAGTAGAGTGAATGCTTTCAATTGCTGGGCATAGCTCACGTAGTATGTGGCCTGTAAAACTGTAGTGGCCTTGTGTGAGGAGAGGATTTTTAAAGCTAAGGTAAATTTTTAATGAAATTAGTTCCTACAATTATAGTGTGTGTGTCTGTGTGCATCTCTGTGTGTGTATGTGTGACATTCATAGTACTCTGGATGCAGGAATGGAGAAGGCAAATTGATTGGTCCCAGATTGGGGTTTTGTCATGTGAGTATGGCAAAATCACAAGGCGACAAGTTAGTTAACAGCACTGGCAAGTTTCATGGGTAGTGGAATCTATGATGAATAGAAAAGAAAAATGTGGCACACATGTTGATTAGCCATCCCTTTTCTTCCATGGGAACAGAACCACCATTTTATTCATATGTTGGACAGTAATGGAAGGTGGTCCCAACTCAAGCAGTGAATGACAATTAGTTTAAGCTACTCATAAAAGTTACATTACTCTATGCCACTTGTTTCAGGGTAGGCATGTGACCTAGTTCTGGCCAAAGAGATACAAGAAGTTTGATAGTGACATCTGGGAAAAGTTTTCCTCTTGGCAAAGACACAGGAGAAATGCATTTTTCTTTACCTTTTATATGGCCTTATTGAGAGGTGACAGCGTGCTGGCAGTCCTCACAGCCCTCACTCGCTCTCAGCGCCTCCTCTCCTGGGCTCCCACTTTGGTGGCACTTGAGGAGCCCTTCAGCCCGCCCCTGCACTGTGGGAGCCCCTTCCTGGGCTGGCCAAGGCCGGAGCCGGCTCCCTCAGCTTGCCGGGAGGTGTGGAGGGAGAGGCGCGAGCGGGAACCGGGGCTGCGCGTGGCGCTTGCGCGCCAGCTGGAGTTCCGGGTGGGCGTGGGCTTGGCGGGCCCCGCACTCGGAGCATCCGGTCTGTCCCGCCGGCCCCGGGCAATGAGGGGCTTAGCACCCTGGCCAGCGGCTGCGGAGGGTGTACTGGGTCCCCCAGCAGTGCCGGCCCACCGGTGCTGCGCTCGATTTCTCGCTGGGCCTTAGCTGCCTTCCCGCGGGGCAGGGCTCAGGACCTGCAGCCCGCCATGCCTGAGCCTCCCCTGCTCAGTGGGCTCCTATACCGCCCAAGCCTCCGGACGAGCGCCGCCCCGTGCTCCACGCGCCCAGTCCCATCGACCACCCAAGGGCTGAGGAGTGCGGGCGAAGGGCGCAGGGCGCAGGACGCAGGACTGGCAGGCAGCTTCACCTGTGGCCCCAGTGCGGGATCCACTGGGTGAAGACAGCTGGGCTCCTGAGTCTGGTGGGGACTTGGAGAAGCTTTATGTCTAGGTAAGGATTGTAAATACACCAATCGGTGCTCTGTATCTAGCTCAAGGTTTGTAAACACACCAATCAGCACCCTGTGTCTAGCTCAGGGCTTGTGAATGCACCAATTGACACTCTGTATCTAGCTACTCTGGTGGGGACTTGGAGAACCTTTATGTCTAGCTGAGGATTGTAAATACACCAATTGGCACTCTGTATCTAGCTCAAGGTTTGTAAACACACCAATCAGCACCTCGTGTCTAGCTCACGGTTTGTGAATGCACCAATCAACACTCCCTATCTAGCTAATCTAGTGGGGAGGTGGAGAACCTCTGTGTCTAGCTCAGGGATTGTAAACGCACCAATCAGCGCCCTGTCAAAACAGACCACCTGGCTCTCTGTAAAATGGACCAATCAGCAGGATGTGGGTGCGGCCAGATGAGAGAATAAAAGCAGGCTGTGAGCCAGCAGTGGCAACCCATTGGGGTCCCTTCCCACACTGTGGAAGCTTCGTTTCTTTGCTCTTTGCAATAAATCTTGCGGCTGCTTACTCTTTGGGTCCACACTGCCTTTATGAGCTGTAACACTCACTGCGAAGGTCTGCAGCTTCACTCCTGAGCCAGCCAGACCACGAACCCACCAGAAGGAAGAAACTCTGAACACATCCGAATATCAGAAGGAACAAACTCCGGACACGCCACCTTTAAGAACTGTAACACTCACTGCGAGGGTCCACGGCTTCATTCTTGAAGTCAGTGAGATCAAGAACCCACCGGTTCCGGACACATTATAGGAGAGTGATGCGTAGAGCTGTGGCAGCCATTTTATGACCATAAGGAGACAAACTTGAGGTCAAAAGCACATACGATGAGAAAATGAAACAACCATAGACCCTGGGTCCTCCATCACATTTTAAAAGATAGTAGGGCTAACACCGATCACTCTCTTTTTTTCTGAAAGTTCTCCTTTTTCTTGTCAGAAGCCACATTCCCCTTTAACACTACTCCTTGTTCTTAAAAGTTACTTATTTGGCTGGTCACAGTGGCTCACACCTGTAATCCCAGCACTCTGGGAGGCCAAGGCCAGCAGATCACTAGGTCAGGAATTTGAGACTAGTCTGGCCAACATAGTGAAACCCCATCTTTACTAAAAATACAAAAGATTAGCAGGGTGTGGTGGTGTGCACCTGAAATCCCAGCTACTCGGGAGGCTGAGACAGGAGAATCGCGTGAACCCAGGAGGCAGAGGTTGCAGTGAGCCGAGGTCACGCCATTGCACTCCAGCCCGGGGGACAGTGCTAGACCCTGTCTCAAAAAAAAAAAAAGTTACTTCTTTTTTCTTTCTGCTCTCTGATTTTCTTTTTCATTGCTAATGATTTTCAACGAGGGGGATATGTAATTTTAAAAGGTATATTTATATAGTCTAGTTTATCTTTAGTTGGTATAAATCATTTGCCTTTTAAAAAGCATATTTAGTATTATTTTATCCTTCAGAATCTTTTTAAAAATAGCTTTGAGACATAATTCACATACCATACAATTCATCCATTTAAAGTGTACAATTAGTTTTTAGTATATCCACAGAGCCATGAAACCATAACCACAACTAATTTTAGAAAATGTGTACCAAGAAGAAATCGCATATCCACTTGCACTCACTCTTCGTTTCCCCTGCCCTCCAGCCCTAGGAAGCTAAAAATCTGCTTTCTTTCTCTGTAGATTTGCATATTCTGAACATTCCATATACATGGAATCATATAATATGTGGTCTTTTGTGAGTGGTTTCTTTCACTTGCTATGTTTTTAAGGTTCAACTGTGATGTAGCACATTATCAGTAACTCTTTGGCTTTGTAATGCAAACTATTGAAAAGCAAACATGTGACATGAGACTCAAATACCAAGAAAGAAAGGTTTCAAAATATTTATTGAGGATCTCCTATTTGCCACCGTTAGCTAGTAAACGCATATGGATCATTCTCTAATTGTTATCTTCATTCCTACATGATCTATTAGGCACCAGAATTACATTTCCAGCTGCCATATTGACTTGGGTATCCAGGAGCTGACACCTTGAACTTAGTTCTCCCTCTTTCAAGGCCTTCTTTATTTTTGCTAGACAGAATTCCCCCAGGCTCAGAAGTTCAATCTTTAATTCCCTTTTCACTTTCATATCCAATCAGTCACCAAATCTTATAAACTCTATTTCTCAAATATTTTCTCTGTTTTGGTGTGTCAAAAATGTTATGGGTTGAATTGTATTTCTCCACAAAAAGATACACTGAAGTCTTAACCTAACATTACCTCAGAATATGACCTTATTTGGAAATATAATAATTGCAGATATAATTAGTTAAGATGAGGTCATACTGAAATAGGGTGTGTCCTTCATTCAATAAGGCTGGTGACCTAATAAAAAGAACACTATGTGAAGAGACAGAGACACAGGAAAATGCCATGTCACAATGGAGGCAGAGATCCAAATGATGCAACTATAAGCCAAGAAATGCCAAAGATTGCTGGCCATCACCAGAAGCTAGGAGAGAGGCATGGAATAATTCTCCTTCAGAGCCCCCAGAAAGAACCAAACCTGTGGACACCTTGATTTTTAGCCCCTAGAACTAGGGTAAGGTGACAAATTTTTGTTGCTTAAATTACCTAGTGTGTGGTACTTAATCACTACAGCCCTAGGTAACTAATACAGACACTAAATGACTTCATAATAGTTTAGGCATTCATTATATCATGCATCCCAAATCTTTATTTCATCATTTTATCTGCTACCCCAGACCAAGCCATCATCATTTCATGCCTAGGCAATGTTAATCACCTCCTAATTGTCTCCCTTGTCTCCCACAAGAATGGCACCCCTATTGCCATTCTTGTATCCTTATAATTCATTTGCCACATAGAATATTTTAATAATTAAACCATATCATATCAGTGTTCTGCTGAAAACTCTCCAATAGCATCCCTTAAATGGACATTAAAGGGCCTATATGAACGAACAGCTGCCTAGCTCTTGCACCACAATTCCTGCCACTCCTCATTACACACCGGGTATGCTAGATTTTTTTTTTTTTTTAAAAGACCAATTCAATTCCTCCATTGCACGAACTCTGCCATTCTGGAATGCTCTTCCTCTCATGGCTCATTTCTTCTTGTCATCACACTTCAGCTTAAATGTCAGTTCTGAACGGCCTTTCTTGACGACCGGAACTAACACAGATATTTGCTCAGTTTTAATTCTCGACAATGCACTTACCACTATCTGACATTGTTTTGTATTATTTTATGTATTTCACTGGTAATTGTGTCTCCTCTCCCTCCTACCCCCAATAGAGTATGACAACTGGGACTTGTCTTATCATTTATCCACAGTACGTGGGAAAATGGCCGGCACATGGGACTTCAATAAATATGTGCTCAATGGTGAACCACCTAGGTAGGCAGATATGTACGCTAGGATCGTGCTCGTGGGGAGCTTAGGTTCTAAAGGGAAAGGTCAATAAATAGGAGAAAAACAAACACCTAGATTCTGTTAACTGTTGCATAGAAGAGATTGAAGTTATACAGAAGACACTGAGGAGTCTATAATCAGAAGTTTCTCAGGTATGAGGTGACATTTTTGCTGAGGCTGGAATGAAGGCTTGGAAAAAATTAAGCAAGTAGAGCTCAGCTCCCTGAAAATTTCCAACAGAGAGAACAGCAAGCAAATAATCTTAGAGGCTATTATACAACAAATTCACTGAGTTCCAGGAAAGTCAGTGTGACTAGAGCATAGTAAAACTGGAAAATGATGAGAAAAGTGGCTGGAAAGGTAGTCAGGGTCCAGATTATACAAGCCTTGTTAGAGAATGATAAGCTGTTTCTATTTTACCCTAAGTGAAATACTATGCTATTTAAGTTGCTAAATGACATCGTCTGATTTACTCAGTGTAGAGTCTCACCAAACTGTGTCCCCAACCACCAGCATCAGAATCACTTCTGAGCTTGTTAAAAATGCAATCTGAAGCACCACATCGGAACTCAATTAAGATCCCTAGGTGATTCATATGCACATTAAAGTGTGAGAAACACTGGTACAGAGAATGGAGTAGAGGTGAGAAAGAGTAGAAGAGGGGAAGTCAGTTAGAGAGCTACATTCTGGTCCAAGTGAAGGAAAACAGTGGCCTGCATAAGAGTGACAGCAGGAAGGATGAGAAGACGGATTCTAGGTCACGTTTTGCAGACAGTTTGTTTAGGTCTCCTAGCCAGCTAAATGGAAATCTCAGTAGACAGGCAGTGATACAAGCCTGGGTTTCTGAAAAAAGTTTAGGCTTGGAGATGTAGATCTGTGGGTCTGTTATTAATAGTTGTCCTGCTTCGGGTTTTTATTTTTTTTTAATTTTCTTCCTTTTTTAGTGCTTTATATTTTACAAATGTCTGCAGCAGTTTTTTGTCATCTTTATGGAAAACAAGGCACGTCTTAAAGTCGTTCAAGTCCTTCACTTTTTCACACTGAGGTCTGTCTTCATATCCACTTATCTTTCAAGTCTATGAAACCCCTTATAAAAACTTTCCTTTGAAATATTTTAAAATTCAAGGCCCACGGCTGATTAATACTGTTTCTCCTCCATAACCCCTAGGATCCTCCAGTTCTGGGTTTTAACAAGAAAAATATCCTCAATCCTCTCTAGTTTCTAGGTGTAAAGCAGCTTGGACCCTCCTGGGTTTGGTGGGTCCATCTCTCTTGGAGTCCAACTCTGTATTCCTAAAAAGCAATTATTGAAATAGAAGCTAGTCAGTTAATGGCAATAAAAGAAGGGAATTCCAAGTGGGAGCTTCCCAAGCCAAGAGGAAGAGAGGTTTCTTGCCTTATCACTGTAAGTGGCAGAGTGGAGTTCCAATTCAATGATATCATTTGTGTTATCAAAGGTAGTTTAATCGTTGAAAAGCTTGTTAACAATTATAAACACAGGCAAATGCCTTTTCCTTTTTGGCCTTACGGAGAATGAGAAAAGTTCTTCCCATGGCTAAAATTCTTAGCTGTTGGTAATGCAGAAAAGAGTACCAGAACAGCAGAATTCCAACGGTATTCCAGGATTCTGTGTCTTGGTTAATTTTAAATTCACGTGACCTGGCAAACTTAGGAGAGTCCTGGTTGTAAGAGGTATTAACATTTTCAGCAGTAGTACTCTAGCTACACTTGACTGTTCCCCTCTCTGTGAATTTACATGATATGTTTGAAATACTGCCCCTCAAAAGTCTCAGAACTTTGAGAAATACGGTCCTTTCCAAAAAAACCCCTTATGTCCAATTTGAAGGGGTCGCTGTCAGTGGGTGCTTAAGTGGGTAAAGAAAAGCCAAGAATATGTCAGGGTGAGGAAGGCCAAGGCTGAGCGAGGTCAGCTTGGGACCCACCTCCTAGAATGACCTCCGCCAGCAGGAAAAAACCGTTAAGGGGAGGAAAGGGCAGGTCCCTGCGGCCTCCAGGTGCCAGCCGCGTGAGTGGGCGGAGAGGCCTCGGTGCCTCCTACCCGCTCCGGACGTGCGTCCCGGCATCACCCCGGGATCCGCTCCTCCCCGCTGGCGGGGGGAGAAAGGGCAGGAGGCCTTCCGTCCCGGCTATAAAGGGCCCCGGACCGCCGCGGCTCGCCTCGGCTTGCCTCGACACGCCTAGGCGCCCTCCGGCTCCGCCCTAGCCGCCGCGTCCCAGCTAGAGCTCCAGCGCCCGCTCAGGCCCCACTCGACCTCTCGGGCCTCGGCTACTTGGACTGCGGCGGAATATGGCGGCTCCGATGACTCCCGCGGCTCGGCCCGAGGACTACGAGGCGGCGCTCAATGCCGCCCTGGCTGACGTGCCCGAACTGGCCAGACTCCTGGAGATCGACCCGTACTTGAAGCCCTACGCCGTGGACTTCCAGCGCAGGTACCGCCGGAATCCCACCACCCCCACTTAGACAGGCAGCCCGCCTCCCAGGAGCCGTCTCGGGACACGGGCCGCCCCTCGGCCCTCGCGCGCCAACCCCGCCCCAGGCGGGGAGGAACCTGAGTGGGCGGGGCTCGGGGTGACTCGGGTAACCGGGTTCTGTGGCTTCCGTAGTGGCAGGTTTGACAGCGCTGGTGCCCGGAGCGGGCGCTGAAGAAACTTCTTTCCTCATCCCCTTTCCCCTCTGTTCTAATCAGCGGTCTTGCGCCATAGGGTACGTGCTGTGGCTCCAACACTTATTCCCCAGAGTGCTGCTGGGGAGTGACTCACCGCCGCTGCAGGTTTTCTGACTTTGGCACCCACTAGCGTGGGCCTGTGGAGTAACGTGGGCATAACTCCTGGCACGTGTAATTACGCATTTAAAACTTTCTAGTTTATTTCATAGCAAATGTTGTGATTTTATATCTAAGAGGATTCCTTCAGGCAGACACTATATCCTTTTGTTTTTTCCTTGCTAATATTCCTCATTTAGGGGAAGATTACACCTACATTGATCAATTTTTTCTCCCCTTGGATCAACATTGAGAAGTTAAATGTACATCAACATTTGTCCGTGTGTGACTTTAACCATCTTGAAGAGGGAGAAAGGTCAGGAAAGCAACTTTTACAGGCCAATGTCGTTTTAGCTTGTCTTCTACCATTGTGTACCATACAACTTTAGTTACTGGGCTAATAATTCTATTCATAAGTTCCACTAAAAAGGTACAGGTCTTTTTCTGTTGTCGTTGTTGTTTGAAGTAAAAGAGCTATTATACAAGTTGTAATAGTTATACTTGTGAGGTTACCCCATTTTGATTTAATAGTTTCTCCCCTTTTAGGAGAGACACTGCAGAATGGAAACTATCCTGGCAACAGAATATACATGGCCAATTTTTCGAGTGATGGAAAACATCCAACTAGTTAACTGGCATGAAGGAGCGTTGAGAGTAATGAAAATGGGTTGATTTGGAGTTTGAAAAAAGCCCAGCAAATTGTTTGTGTCCTAGCATTTTCAGGTATTAAATGCATTCAAATCAGCAAGTGTTTATTGAGGAACTCCTATAAATAAAACACTGCTCTAGGGATTGTAAGGGATGTGAAGTTTCATTCTTGAGCTTGTATATAGTAGTGAATGAGGCCTCTGTAAAATAATCACCTTGAGCTGTCCCTCACTTAATCAGATGATTATGCTCTTATATAAACCATATGAGGAGCAGCCTTGTGAAATTGTTTTCAGAATTTACAGTATATGCTTTCAGAGAAACTTAGTGCATAATCGTCATAGGTTTAAGGTTGGATTTGATTTAGAAATAGTCAGAAAAAATTTAGAACAAAAGATAGTGATTAAAGGTAGTGGTTAGATTTTTTTTTTGATGTCCTTGTAACCATGACATTAATTTACCTGTGTGCTTTGTAAAAGGACACTTAAGATATTTATTAAAGAAGAGTTGTGGAAATGTTTTATCTACACCCCCTTCCTTTTTTTTTTAAATGACACAAACAGATTAACATTCTTTATTAAGTGTTTCTTTCATGTACTTTATTTCCAACTCCACTGGGATTGAAGCATTTATAATCTTCTTTCATGGTTTGCCAAAACTAATGAAGGGAACAAAGGCCAAGATAAAGAAGGGAAGAGAATCCAGTGTGCTTGGTGAAAAGTCTCGTCCAGTGGGCCCTCATGCCTCACTCTGACCCGGATTTTACTTTTGTCCTTGGTTCTGAGTAATGGCCATTTGCTAGCATACATGTTCCATTTAGGCATATCAAATAGTAATTTGGCATTTGTTAGTGGTAACTTCTATTGTTAACACTTGAAGAATAAAACATTTTTCCTTCATACAATCTGGTCTTAGTTCCTTGTCCAATTTTCCATTTATTTCTGATAATCCATTTGGACTGTGTGTCTTTGGCCTAACACAAATACATAACCAGTCAAACACTTAGGTGCAAAGTATGCTTACTAAGGAGTGAAGAAAATTTGAGGTACAAACAACAGTATATAATTAAGGTGATGAAGAAGGAAATTTCTCTTTGATGGACTGTCTCATCCTTCCCCAACAGATATCTTTTGATTTGAAATTTTTTGGATGTTCCCTTAGGATGTTTTGGATGTTCCTTCCCTTCTTTACCTTGGCCTTTTCCCCTTCTGTATTAGTCCGTTTTCATGCTGCTGATAAAGACATACCTGAGACTGGGCAATTTACAAAAGGAAGAGGTTTATTGGACTTACAGTTCCAAGTGGCTGAGGATGCCTCGCAATCATGGCAGAAGGTGAAAGTCATGTCTCACATGGTGGCAGACAAGAGAAGAGAGCTTGTGCAGGGAAACTCCCCTTTTTAAAACCATCAGGTCTCGTGAGACTTACTTACTATCAGGAGAACAGCGTGGGAAAGACCTGCCCCCATGATTCAGTTACCTCCCATCAGGTCCCTCCCACAACACGTGGGAATTCAAGATGAGATCTGAGTGGGGACACAACCAAACCATATCACCTTCATTAGTTGTTCTTTTCACCTTCTGTACCTGTGAGAATTTTGAATCAAGTGTAGAGGATTAATGAGTTACTCTGCTATAAAATAAAAATTAGTACATTATTAGCATGACTGACCACCTCCATGTTGTCTCATTGATGACCTCCCAAAATAGCATTTTCCACTTGATTTTTCTACCTTTTATTTAGTTATTTACTTGTTGTTACACTACAATTAGTTGTTATAATTCCAAAATCTTAGTGCTTTAAAACAACATTTAATTGTTCCCATATTACATGTCAGCATGAGTCAGCCAGAGGGCCCTCCTCATGGCAGTCACTCAAAAATCTAGGCTTATGAAGGATTTGTTTTGAAACATGCTTCTGTAGAGGTGGTCACAGTGCAAAGAGAAGCATGTTGAACTATGCACTATTTCTTACAGCTTTTGCCTAGCAGTGAGTCCATTCTGCTGATACGTTACATTGGCCAGTGCCCATCAGCTTGCCATGTGGGTGAAACAGAGAATTGGCATTTGTGAACATTGTCAAAACAACACAATTTAATAATACTACTTTATACCCTCTGTTTAATGTTTATAAAGTACTTTCAGATCCGGTATTTAATGTAATCCTCATAACAAAACCATGAGGTAGACAGACGGTGGGCATTTTTCCTGTTTTGCAGATGAAGAAACTAAGTGATGGGCTTGAGCATATATGGCATAAGTAAGTGCTGCAACTGTGATTAATCTTTCTTTACTGAAACTGTTCTCAACCAGTTCACAGACAACTTCATGATAATTTAGGGATCCCTCTTTTCTTTATCTCTAGCATTGTACATGTTGGACTATTTCTTGGCTCTTTGAAGCCATAATCTTGCTTTTCTTTCATTTTCTCAGCCTCTTTTTGACCATTTAATGTAAGAGATTTTCAAGGTTCTTCCCTGGGATCATTTATGTATTTCTATTGTATATTTTCTCCCTAGACATTCTCATCCATCCCATGGATTCCATCTATCTACTGAGGCTGCCCACATCTGTCTCCACTCTAGATCTTTCTCCTTATCTTGGACTTATTTATATCTTCATTTTGATGTTTTATAAATACAAATCTCAACATGTATAAAACTGAACTTAACAGATTTTCATTCCAAACATGTTTGTCCCTGTCAACCCAATCGCAGTGTCTGGAATCTTCCTCTACCAGCTGCTCAAACCTAAAAGGTAACGAGTGATTTCTAATTACTCCCGTCTCCTCCTAGACCTTTGAGTCTAGTCAATTGTAGCCCCTAACTTTTAAGTATGTAGCATGCTGCCTTCCTACTGCTGCCATCCTAGTTCAGGTTGCTAGCATCTCTAGTATGGTTTACAGAAACAACCTCATAGCTGTTGTTCTTTTTTCAAATCTTCACTCCATTCTAACTTCTCCACTCCTCTTCATTCCAAACAGAGTAAGTAGAATGGATTTTGAAATAAACAAATCTGATCATGGTACTCCTCTGCTTAAACCCTTTCAACCATTCCTCATTTCTCTTGAGTTCTGTACAGCCTCCTTCCCATAACTTAGAAGATTCTGCATTATCTGGTCCCTGTTGACCTTTTCAGCCTCCCTCTCGGTACCATCTAACCAGAGGGCCATAAAGGGAGAGGGCAGCTTGGATCTCTGGGGACCATTCTGTAAAGGTACCAGAATACCAGTAAAATAAATTAGAAACATGATATCCATTTCCCACATGCATTCCTTTTTTCTTGAATATTGAAGATTTTCATTTCTTATTTTGTCCACACACAAGAAATTGGGGCATCTGGAAAAATCACTGAATAAAAGATAAGAAAGATGAAGAATTAGAAAAATTTTCTAATCTTTATCAGAAGAGTGACAGATTTAGCTTAGTAGGAGTGGGTTAAATAAGTGAATCTTTTCCTGTATTTAATATTTTCTTAATATAAAACAATTTCTCTACCCCATGAAAGAGAAACATTTAACAAATGTTTGAGTATCAGCTGGAAAGTGTGACATCATATTATCCTGTCTTGGATGCCACATGTTTTGGTTTAGCCCTCAGTGAAGCTGTGCTTTTGTACATGCTATTGCTTCTGCCTAAGCATTCTTTGCTTCTACCTTAGGATAGTTCCTATACATGTTTTGGGACACAGCTTAGAGATATATTATATGCCTTCTCTGACTTCGCCCTGTCTCAAAGCTTCTTCTGGGCTGGTTGAGGGGTCCCTCTTCTTTTCTGCCACCTTGGACCACTATCCTATGCATGCTCATCCACTGTAATACAGTTGTCTTTCTACTCTTTGTATCCCCCACTAGATTGTTTGCTCTCATAAGTGGGTACTATGTCTATATTATTTATTCACTGTTGTATTCCTCAGTCTGTAGAACTGGACCTGCCTCACAGTAAATACTTAGTGTAATACTTGAATGAGCCAGTGGCTGAGTGAATATCTTCTGACTTCATTTTTCCTTTGTGCCATACCAGTGAGTCTATGGTCAATTCACCTGGAGCTAAAAATGTCTGGATTACTAGGGTAGATGAACAGGGAACAGGAGTAGTTACTAGAGGTTTCATGTGACAATCTGGGTAAGGGGAATATATGCTCAATTAAAGAGCTAAAGATGACCAGAATAAATCAAGAAAATAGCTTCTTAATTAGATACTTTCATACTCATCAGAGACTAAAAGTTTGATCTCTGAAGGAATAGTCAGTTTGAGAGAATCTGATGTCAAGTTGTAGCTGTGTGTCCAAGAATGGGAGAAGGGGTTTTATGATAAATATTATATGTTAAGTATTACAATTACAGTGAAGAGCTCTACTTGGTTAGAAATAAAATAATTTTCACATTGGTATCTATTAAAATTAGAAAGTAATTTGGATTTGGTACGTTAGCAACCACTCCAAGAAATTAAAAAAAAATTGTATTGAGGTAAAATGTACATATATAATTCACCATTTTTACCATTTTTAACCACAGTTCAGTGGTAATAAATAAATTTATATATATTTTCCTCCTTTATCTTCCTTCCCCACTGTCCTTCCCAGCCTCTGGTAACCTCCAATCTACTTTCTGTCTTCCTGAGAAACACTTTTTTAGCTTCTGCATATGAGTGAGAGCATGTGATATTTGCCTTTCTGTACTTGGCTTATCTCACTTAACATAATGGTCTCCAGTTCCATCCATGTTGCTGCAATGATAGGATTTCATTAATTTTTATGGTTGAATAATATTCCATTGTGTATATATACTGTAGTTTCTTTATCCATTCATCCGTTGATAAGCACTTAGGTTAATTCCATATTTTAGCTATTGTGAATAGGGCTGCAATAAACATGGGAGTGCAGATATCTTTTCAACATACTGATTTTATTTCTTTTGGATATATACCCAGTAGTAGCATTGGTGGATTATATCATAGTCATATATTAACTTATTTGAGGAACTTCTATACTGTTTTTTTTTCCAAGTGGCTATGGTAATTTACATTCCCACCAACAGTGTATGAGTGTTCCCTTTCTGCACATCCTAACCAGCATCTGTTACTGCCCATGTTTTTGATACAAGCTATTTTAACTGTAGTGAGATGATATTGCATTGTGGTTTTGATTTGCATTTCTGTGATGATTAGTGATATTGAGCATTTTTTTCATACACCTGTCGGCCATTTATATGTTTTCTTTTGAGAAATGTCTGTTCAGATCTTTCGCCCATTTTAAAGTCAGATTTTTTTGCTATCTGATTATTTGAGTTCTTTGTACATTATGGTTATTAATCTCTTATCTGATAGTTTGCAGATATTTTCTCCTATTCTATGGGTTGTCTGTTTACTTTGTTGATTGTTTCCTTTGCTGTGCAGAAGCTTTTTAGCTTGATTTATACTCTGATGTCTATTTTTGCTTTGATAGCCTATGTTAAGGTCTTACACAAGAAATCTTTATGTGAGAGACCAGTGCCCTGGAGCATTTTCCCAGTGTTTTCTGCTACAATTTTCATAGTTTCAGGTCTTAGACTAAAGTTTTTAATCCATTTGATTTGATTTTTGTGTATGATGAGATATTAGGGGTCTAGTTTCATTCTTCATCATATAGTTATCCAGTTTTCCCAGCACCATTTATTGAATAGACTGTCCTTTCCCCATTTTAAGTTCTTGGCACCTTTGTTGAAGATGAGTTGGTGGCAAATGTGTGTATTTAGATCTGAGTTCTCCATTCTGTTCCATTAGTCTATGTGTCTGTTTTTATGCCAGTACCATGCTGTTTTGGTTTCTATAGCTTTGTAATACATTTTAAAGCCAGGTAGTATGATGCCTCCAGCTTTTTTCTTTCTTCCTTTTTTTTTTTTTGCTAAGATTTATTTGGCTATTTGGGGTCTTTTGTGGTTTCATTTAAACTTTAGGATTTATTTTTATATTTCTGTGAAGAATATGATAATCAGCGTTTTGATAGGGATTGCATTGAGTCTGTAATTGCTTGGCTAGTATTGTCATTTTAACAATATTAATCCTTCTAATCCGTAAACATGGAATACCTTCCCATTTTTTGGTGTCCTCTTGTATTTCTTTCATCAGAGTTTTATTGTTTTCCTTGTATAGATCTTTCACTTCTTTGGTTATATTGATTCCTAGGTATTTTGTATTCGTTGTAGGTATTGTAAATGGGATTGCTTTCTGGATTTATCTTTCAGATGGTTCTCTGTTGGCATATATAAATCATACAGATTTTTATATTTCGATTTTGTATTCTGCAACTTCACTGAATTTGTTTACCACTTCTAACAGCTTTTGGGTGGAGTCTTTATGTTTTTGTAGGTATATAATCATGTTGTCTGCAAACAAGGCTAATTTGGCTTCTTCCTTTACAGTTTTGATGCCCTTTAGCTGTATCTCTTGCCTAATTGCTCTGGCCAACCACACCAAAAATTGGTTCCCACAGCGCAGAAGTTTTATATCACAGTGGAATGGGGTACTTTTTTCTCAGTGCCTGGCCAAGTTGTGGGCTCTGAAGGAAGTCAGATGTCAGTGACTGTAGAAGGCAGTGAAGAATCTGAAGATGACAAGATGTACATGACCTGCTCTTCTGCACTACTAGATTCATTTGCCCTTTGCAGCTGAGATCTTTACTAACTCCAGTCATTCCTGAATTCTCTACAGTGATGGTCAACAGGCTCTGACCTCTTCTCATTTTCAAAGTGCCTTCAAATGACTTCGTGGAGCATCTTGGTTTAGTTTAGGCTCTGGCACCTGCTGCACCACCTCCTGAGAAATGACTGTGTGTGTTGTAACTTACAGGATTCCTTTCAGCTCTCATCAAACTGGGCCTTGGTCAGCTAGTGAGGTGATAATATTGTCTCTGTGAAATATGCTATAGTTTTAGACTGATAAGTATATCATACTGCTGTTATTTGAAAGCACATATTAAACTTTGATTATACATTTATAGGTATTAAAGGAAAATATGAAAGTGTATTCTTTGGAGAAAATTGCTACTACCAGGTACCTTTCATTGTAAAGTGAGCTGATTTTCTTCTTATGGCAATATGAGCTCATCAGTTTATGTTCACCACTGTTTTGAATCCAGGGCTCCTTTGTGTTTAATATCCAGAAGAATCCCCATTGTGTTTTGTGTTTAGGGCAACAGGAACCCGGTACCTTGACAAAAGGTAAGACTCTATGTTAAACACATGATTATGTAGAGTTTTAAAATATGTTATACATCTTACATTCATTGATTTATTATACAATTAAATTTTAGCTCTTATAACTATTAAATAGCTTTGAGTCCTAGGGAAAATTAATCAACCTCTGTGAACTTATTTCTTCATCCATAAAAGTTGGATAGAATCCACTTTGTAGGGTGTCTTGAGGACTAAGAATACATGTGAAGATGCTCAGTAAACAAATAATAGTTTGATGATAATATTATTAGCAAACTAATATATCAAGTTAAATATTTACTAGGATATTACTTTCAGAAGATTTTACTGTTTGCTTCTTTAACACTGTATTCTGAAATCAATCATCAGATAAATACCATGACCAGAAATTCCCCACAACTCTTTGTTTTGCTAGTTAACTGTGCCTTACTTTAGGGGGTTCCTTCTTTTTTTTTGTTAGTAGGAGTGATTGTGTGAATGAGGTGAGGCAGGTGGTAATTTTAATCATAATCTAATAGAGAAGGAAAGGAATATGTTTAAACTTTGATCCTTAATTTAGAGAGGAAATGATAAAGAAATTGCCAGTTTACTATAAGCTGAAGGCAAGATGAGTCCTGGGATATAATGAGCACAAAGCTCCTTTTATTGAGAGAGGTAAATGCTAGCCTGCAGAAATTCAAAATCACTGTTCTCTTGATCTTCCTTTTCTGTCTTTTTCTTTTCTTTCATCTGACTGCTAAGTGTTCATATTCTTGGGCATCAAACAGCTGCAGGGATTTTCTTCCTCCTGAACTGTAGATGGTTAGAGGAATGGTCATACTGAGTTTACTAATAGCAGGAGTAACTTTGAAAATAAGACTAATGTAGAAGAAGAAAAAATATATAATAGCAGCATAAAAGTTTGAAAATGAAATAATTATTCTAGTGGAGTCTGAACATATGATATGTGCATATTAATTAGAAAAAGTTATAAATCCAATATTCTGCCTTCTCTTTTTTTTCCTCTCTTGCTTTTTGATATTTGATGGCTGCAGTTATTTTCAATGGGTTTGATTTTGCCATAAGATGCATAAAACAAATGAATAGAATATTCATATGTATTTTAGTAGATCCATTGAATGATTAATTTTAATGAGACACAATCTCTGGGTTTATACACTAGTTCTACAACCCAAAATATGATAATCAGAAACCAAATATACAAATGTATTTCTTGCATAAAGTTGAAGTTTTCCAAATACCCAGCAAAAAGAATTAACTGTTTGTTTTACCGGTGATATCACATGATACTCAGTGTCATCAATCTGTTTTCATTTCCATTAATAACACCTAGCCACAGGTTATATTTAATTATGAATAACTGCACAATACAGATATACACACCAGTACAGAAACATGATAAAATTGGTTATGCATTTAGGTTCATGTCATAGAAAACCCAGCACACTTTCAATTAACAGAATATCCCACAAGCAATGAATTATAGAAATAGAGGCTTGTGAAGAAAAGCGAAGGTCAGTGGTTTGGGCTTTAGCTTAAATACATCCTTCTTTATCTTCTGCTATATTATCCTTAGCATATGGTCTCCTTTCTTATGCTTAGAGGTTGATTGGGCACAGCTTGGCACCACATCCATGTTTCTAGCTGGAACACGTGCTAGCTTACTATGTCTTTTTTAGTGAAGCATATGTTAGCTTTCTTGTAAACTTCAACTGGTTCTTCCCATTTACAGGTTATTGATCAGAATTGTCCCATGGTCATCCTTAGCTGAAAGTGAGCCTGGATCATCAAGGCTTTCAGTGGCACACACATCTTCCTGAAATGTATCCTTTTGTCTCATCCATCACAACTTCCCAGGGCTCTTTTCCTTTCTCCAAAGAGGAAACTACATCTGGCAGAAGATGAAAAGCCCAGTGAGATCATGCTGTAGTCCTCTAAAATCACATCTATGCACAAATCATTCTGTGCAGGATCCAGGCATTCTACTGTTCCTGAGAGGAGTCTATAGTAACACCCCTCAGTATTACCAGCCGCTGGTTATGGATTTTACTTTGCTAGACCTGATCTTTGTTTTTCTGGGTTCTTTTTTTTTGGCGGAGGGCCGGGGGTATACAGAGACTTTTCACTGCTCTGTCTTAAGGTGATTCAGTCACTTCAGCTACTTGGCCCTAGCTCCACTATCTTCTTTTTTTAATTTCATGAATATTCTTAGAAAATATAAGAATGTTGCCAGGCGCAGTGGCTGACGCCTGTAATCCCAGCACTTTTGGAGGCTGAGGTGGGCAGATCACGAGGTCAGGAGTTTGAGATCAGCCTGGCCAATATGGTGAAACCTGCCTCTACTAAAAATACAAAAATTAGCCGGGCGTGGTGGCACGCACCTATAGTCCCAGCTACTTAGGAGGCTGAGGAAGAAGAATCGCTTGGACCGGGGAGGAGGAGGTTGCAGTGAGCCAAGATCGCGCCACTGTATTCCAGCCTGGGCGACAGAGCCAAAAAAAAAAAAATACATATATATATATATATATACGTATATATATATATACATATATATATATACATATATATATATACGTATATATATATACATATATATATATACACATATATATATACGTATATATATACGTATATATATATACATATATATATACATATATATATACGTATATATATATATGAATGTTTTGAGATGAAATTGGTTTCTTAATTACTAATAATTTTTTCATCTTATCTTGGGCTCATGAAAAAATGGTCAGTTTTCAGTTATTTGGAGAATAGAAAATTTGTGTGATTAAAAAGAAAAGGAGAACAAAATTAAAAATGTCCATTAATTTATGCTAAGTCTTTAAAGCATGAATTATTTTTTTACGTAACTACACACAAGCTTATGAGGCTTTAACATTGTACCTTTCCGTGCTGTTCTTTTTAAAGCTTAAGATGTGTAACTATCAGTCTTCATGGTTGTCATTTTTGTGCTTTTTATTATTATTTTGTCTCAGCTTTTCTCTTTCTGCATTAAAATACTCTGACACTTTTGTTTACCTGTTTGCTTTTTGCCTACACCTTGGAGTCTTCCATCCTCTTGACCATTTTGATTGGCAGTGTTATTTTTGTGGTTTAAGTTGTGCTTACTAGTAATAGGAGTGTAGTGAAACTAACAGGCTTCTTTTTGCTTTACTTCTCCAAAGTGCCTTTAATTAAAAACTGTATGGTACCCATGCAGTATTAGGCAAACCTCTACTCACAAATACAACATATAAACAAGAAGTACATAGAAATAAGAGTAGTATCAAACCTAAGGGTTGGTTTTAGCAGGTTCCAAGTACCTATAAAGTCAGAGGACATTTGAAAACATAGTGGAGATTGTTTAGACAATTGTAAATTGTGTTAGACCGTATTAAAAAAAATCATTCTGAAATAATTACAGACTCACAGAAAGTTGCAAACAGAGTTTAGAGAAGGCTCCTCTACCCTTCACTAAGTTTGCTGCAGTGGTAATATCTTGCATAACTGCAGTGGTTGTATCAAAACCAGGAGATTGACATTGGTGCAAACTACAGACCTTATTTACATTTCTCCAGTTTTTACATATACTTATTTGTGTGTGTCTACACTTCTATACAATTTTATCACATGTGTATATTAATGTAACTGACACTGCAATGAAGATATAGAACTGTTACATCACTACGAAGGAATGCTCTCCTGCTATTCCTTTATACTCACATTGCCCCTCCCCCACCCATCCCTAACTTTTGGCAACCAGTGAGTTATATGGTTTGCATGTCTGTAATGTTTTTCATTTGGGGAGTGTTCTATGAATGAAATCATATATCAGTTTTTGACAGTGGCTTTTTTGGCCTTTTTTTTTCATTCAGCATAATTCCCTTGAGATCTCTCCACGTTGCATATATCAATAGTTTGTTCCTTTTTGTCACTTAGTGGTATTCCATTGTATGGATGTACCATCCATCCAGTTTGTTTATTAACCTGTTGAAGGACATTTGGATTGTTCCCAGTTTTTGGCTATTACAAATATTACAGTAAACCTAAGATATGAATATTTATGTATAGGTTTTATTTCTCTGAGATAAATGCACAGAATGCTGTGATAGCTGGGTCACGTGGCAAGCATTTGTTTTATAAGGAATTTCCAGATATTTTCTTTTTTTCTTTTTTCTTTTTTTTTTTTTTTTGAGACAGAGTCTTGCTCTGTCACCAGGCTGGAGTGCAGTGGTACCGTCTTGGCTCACTGCAACCTCTGCCTCCCTGGTTCAAGCGATTCTCCTGCCTCAGCCTCCCTGGTAGCTGGCACTACAGGTGCGCACCACCATGCCCAGCTAATTTTTGTATTTTTAGTAGAGACGGGGTTTCACCATGTTGGCCAGGATGGTCTCGATCTCTTGACCTCATGATCCACCCACCTCTGCCTCCCAAAGTGTTGGAATTACAGGCTGAGCCACTGCGCCCGGCCTCCAGATATTTTCTACAGTATCTGTACAAGTTTGCATTCCACTGGATGCAGTTGATCTGCATCCTTGCCAACATTTGGTATTATCATTAATTTTTGTTGTTGTTGTTGTTTTTTGAGACAGAGTCTCCTTGCTCTATCACCCAGGCTGGAGTGCAGTGGCGCGGTCTCGGCTCACTGCAAGCTCCGCCTCCCGGGTTCACGCCATTCTCCTGCCCCAGTCTCCCGAGTAGCTGGGACTACAGGCGCCCGCCACCACACCCGGCTAATTTTTTGTATTTTTAGTAGAGACGGGGTTTCACAGTGTTAGCCAGGATGGTTTCAATCTCTTGACCTGGTGATCCGCCCTCCTCGGCCTTCCAAAGTGCTGTAATTATAGGCGTGAGCCACCGCACCCGGCCTTCACTATTTTTTATGTTAACTAATAGGTATATAGTGCTATGTCATTGTGGTTTTAATTTGCATTTTTCTAATGCCTAATTACATTTAAAGATCTTTTAAAGTATTATTTTCTATTTGTACGTTTTCTTTGGTGAAATGTTTATTCATGTCTTTTGCCCATTTTCTAACTGGATTGATTTTTCTTTTTTCACTTGCCGGTTTTTGTTTTTTGAGATGAGTCTTGCCCTGTTGTCCAGGCTGGAGTGCAGTGGCGTGATCTCGGCTCACTGCAACCTCTGCCTCCCCATTTGAAATGATTCTCCTGCTTCAACCTCCCTAGTAGCTGGGATTACAGGTGCGTGCTTTCATGCGCGTCCGTGTGAAGAGACCACCAAACAGGCTTTGTGTGAGCAATAAAGCTGTTTATTTCACCTGGGTGCAGGCGGGCTGAGTCCGAAAAGAGAGTCAGCGAAGGGAGATAAGGGTGGGGCCGTTTTATAGGATTTGGGAAGGTAATGGAAAATTACAGTCAAAGGGGGTTGTTCTCTGGTGGGCAGGGGCGGGGGTCACAAGGTGCTCAGTGGGGGAGCTTCTGAGCCAGGAGAAGGAAATTCAAAGGGTTAATCACTCAGTTAAGGTGGGCCAGGAACAAATCACAATGGTGGAATGTCATCAGCTAAGGCGGGGCAGGGCCTTTTCACTTCTTTTGTGATTCTTCAGTTACTTCAGGCCATCTGGGCGTATACGTGCAAGTCACAGGGGATGTGATGGCTTGGCTTGGGCTCAGAGACCTGACATGTGCCACCACTCTCAGCTGATTTTTGTATTTTGAGTAGAGATGGGGTTTCACCATGTTGGCTAGTGTGGTCTCCAACTCCTGACCTCAAATGACCAGCCTGCCTCAGACTCCGAAAGTGCTGGGATGACAGGCTTGAGTTACTGAGCTTGGCCTATTTTTGTGTTTTGAGAGTTCATTATATGTTCTACACATAAATCCTTTGTTAGATTTGTGGTTTACACATATTTTCTTTCTGTCTGTGGCTTGTCTTTCTATCTTCTAAACAGAGTCTTTCACAGAGCAAAATTTTTAAATTTTAGTGAAGTTAAAAATTTCAATTTTTTCATTTATTTTGATGAATCATGCTTTTGTTGCCATATCTAAGAGCTCTTTTCCTAGCTCTAGGACCTGAACATTTTCTCTATTTTTTTTTCTAAAAGTTTTGTTGTTTTACATATTACATTTAAGTCTGTGATCCATTGTGCATTAATTTTTTGTGTAATGTTTTAGGTTTAAGTCCAGGTTTATTTTATTGCTTATGTGTGTTTGCTTCCTTTTAATGATCATAAACTGACAAACTTGTATTGAGAAGCGACCTGACCAAAATTACCCTCATCTTTAATCAGGTGTCACTGAAAGGTACAAGCAATGAAAATTTTTACACATATTATAGGTTATCGAAAGCATGGAAACAAACTGTCAGTTTTCTTATTTATGAGATCTCATTTTAAGCTTTGACAAACCCTAAACTTTAGGAAGCCAGGCAAAAATTTGTGATATATATGGGAATTTATTCTCAAGTAGGTGCCTCATGTTAAGGTTTTTTCTTTTCAGTTTTTGATTTTCATATTTTTCTGTCGTGTCACATTATTGATTTATATTCCAAATATTTCTTCATATGAATCTGTATGAATGTATATGTTCATGTATACTGCATAACTGTAGTGGTTATCATTTTAATTTGACTTATCATTTTAATTTGATTTTTTATTTTTAAAAATTTCATTTCTTGGCCAGATGTGGTAGCTAATGTTTGTAATCCCAGTACTTTGGGAGGCTGAGGTGGTTGGACTGAATGAGCCCAGGAGTTTTGAGACCAGCCTGGGCAATACAGTGAGATCCCATCTGTCCAAAAATAAAAATTAGCCAGGTATGGTGGCGAGCACCTGTAGTCCTAGCTACTTGGGAGGCTGAGGTGTGAGGATTGCTTGAGCCTGGGAAGTCAATGCTGCAGTGAGCTAAGATTGTGCCACTGCACTCCCCCTGGGTAACAGAGCAAGACCCTGTCTCAGAAAAAAAAACTTAAAACGTTTTATATTTTAGTCTCAGAACCCTCTCATTTCACAGTATCAGTCTTCACTTCTACATTATGAAAACGATTGCCTTTATTTATATACATTGAAGTACAGAGAAAAAACAAACACCTATTACTTTAAAAATAAGTTTCATTCATTTTGTCTGTTTATTTGACTTAAATGACAAGTAAATCTAATATTTTGTGTTATAATTTTATTTGTAAGAATGAATTGGTTAAATCTTAACTAATGTCAGTATTTTACAAAATTAGTTTCTTTTATCTAAATGAAATTAGCCTTTAGTTTATTCCAATATTAATATTTTCTTTGATATTTATCAGGGTTCATTATCTTATAAATATATTAGAAATCATAGCATGCCACTTTCCAAATAGAAATTGATTAGTTGTTGAGAGATGGAAGTTGTTTGTACGTTTATTTGGCAAAATTTAGAAAATTTATGAATAATATAGCTAAAAATTTATCTGCCTTTAAACAGAAAGGTAAAGTGGAGTAATTTTTCCACTATTCAACCTAATGTATTCAAATTATCATTTCAACATGTAACTTAAAAGATTACTGATGAGATATTTTACCTGTCATTTGTGCTAAGTTTTTGAGGAAATATTTATTCTACAATTGTAACTCATTATAATGAATTTGAAGCACTAAACATCCAAAAGTGATCTCTACCAAGTTTACTGATAATAATAATAATCATCACCATCATTACAATAATTATTATTGTTATAATTTACATATACATCATTTTATGTGCATTGGGGTCAGAGTCTGCCTTCCTAAGAAGTTTCCAGGTGATGCTGATGCTGCTGTTTCCCAGAGGATACTTTCAGTAGTAGGTAGTCCCATACCTCTGTTCAAAATGGAGTTAGCAAAGGGCTAAATTTTGTTCTGTAAATATGTAAGCTATAAGTATGTATTTCAAATTTTTAAAAATAAGTAATACATGTATATACTGATGAGGTTAACCAAGTTACTTAATTTTTTGGTGGTCACAGTAAGTTTTCTAACTCTTATTATAGGTAAAAAGGGTTTTATTGTTAATATTATCAAAGTTGCTTTTTCTTACATCTGTACTATGAGTTTTACTGTTGCAGATTTGTAAGAAGTTTATTCCTAACACTCTCTTTGGCACAGGCACTTTTCTATATGATAGCAGAACAAATATGAGTAAGATAGGCGTCCTACCTGACAGGAGCTCAGTTAGGCAAATAAACACAGAGTAGATATTTAATCACAAAGTTCAGTGTAATACAGATGAAAGCATATCTTCTTCTATTAAGGAAGGGGATAATACATATATGACAAAGAAGTTCTTTTGAATTGCTTTAAGTTCTCAAAATTATTTCTCTATTAAAATTAGAATGAGTCTTTAAGAATGTGGAAGTCTGTGGGTTTTGTGGAAATAAATAATGTAAGAGCTAAGACATTAATCTTCATTAAAACATTTAATGAAGGTATCATTTGAACTTTTATACAGCTTTGGTTACAGTGAAAGTTTACTTGCAAAATTGGTTCAGTTGGAAAATGTGCTTGTGTAAGAATTGCCACATTGTGTGAGCACTGAAGCCTCTAAAATAGCTTGCAAATCATATCTGAAAACACAGCAACATGTTTCTTTATAACAGATAAGCCCATTTTGGAAGGGATAGTGGGCTGTTTTTAATGGGAATGAGGCAATTCCTGAGTAAGCTAAGTGGCTGCATTCCTGAGTGAGTCAAGGGACATTATGAGTGTTATCTGGAGAGGTTTCCAGAAAAGCAAATGAGTACTGAATGCTCATGCTCCTCCTGATTCCATGTTAGGTGTCCTGCCCAGACCAATGTTATCCAATAGAAATGTAATATAAATCACACAGGTAATTTAAACTTTTCTAGTAGCCACATTAAAAAAGGTAGAAAGAAAACTAATTTTTACACTATTCAACCTAATGTATTCAAAGTATCATTTCAACATGTAACTTAAGAGTACTGATGAGATATTTTACCTGTCGTTTGTACTAAGTCTTTGAAATCTGATGTGTATTTTACACTTATAGCACATCTCAGTTGGGACTAGTCATATTTCAAGTGCTTAATAATAATGTTTGGCTGGTGGCTACCATATTAGACAGTGCAGGTGGGTATTTGAAATAACAGCTTTTGGAAAAAGTTGGTATCACTCCACAAAGAGATTCAAGGGGAAGATTAAGGAGGGAGAATGGTTCAGTCAGCCCTGTGTTCATAACAGAGGTAATTAGACCCAAAGAAATTCTGACTTAGCCTAAGATAGGGACTCTGCAATTATTGACCAGTGACTTTTTTATATTTGAAGATAAATAAGTAGATGATATGTTAAGTGTAAACATGGAGATATGCCACATACTTAACAGTGGCTAAGTAGGTGGTCATGTTTGCCCTAAGTTACTTGGCATGGCTAGTCCACGTTGACCTTTTCATTGAGGTAATTCTTATTCATGTCTTTTTTTAATGCTAAATGCATCATGTCCGTCCTATAAAGCAAAAACACAAACAACACAAAACAAAAACATGGGCCAGACAAAGTAAATCTGGTCTTTCTTGATAAAATGACTGAGATCAGGTGACTGCTGTCTGCTTTAATAGCCCTAGACCTTTCTGGATGTTCCAATTTCACTTGGATTCGGCCCAGATTAACAGCTGTTTCTAACTTCGTTGTCCCATGAATCTTGCTAAAGTGAGGTGACTCATTATGACTTGCATTATTTTTGAGTTGGTCTTTGCCTGTAAGAGAGGGGGGTTGGAAAGATTGATTCTCTGTTAAAACTTAAAACTAGTGATAATATTGTGGGGGTGTATGTGTGTTCATGATTGTGTGTGTGCCTTGTGTCTTTTTATATTCTTTTCTTCATGACTTGCTTTTCTTGTTTTCTCTAGATGGTAGTTTCTTCAGTGTTCATACTTTTTATTTATATTTGCATATATAACTTTAAATAATAGTTAACCTCATACTCATAATGAAAACATTGCCATTTTTAGAAGTATTTGCCTTCATGAGCAATCAGTCACATTCTTCCAGTGGAATGTTGTTTTCCTGCTCTCATCCATGTTGTGTTTTCCACACTATGCTGTTTAGTACGTGCTGACTCACTGAGCATCTTTGGGATGCTGGCTGTGTGTTTTGAATTTAAGAAGAGAAGAATATAGTTAGGGGACACATTATTGTCTTTTGGTATTTTCTATAGAATTTAGAATAGAGATTTGTACTCAGGGGTGTTTTGCAAATGTGTATTGACTAGGGGTCTGGTCTAGCTTGTTCTGTAATATTAGGAATCTAGAAATATTTATTACTGTCGTTGTTGGAGGGTCCCTAGAAACAGTTGGGAGTAATTCTTTTATCATGTAGTGGCCTGTGGTGGGCAAAACCTCTCTCACATACCGCTTAACCTTTCTCGTGTCTAATACTACTCATGAAGAAGATTGTAATTTGTGCATTGTGCTTTTATCAGGTTGCTGTTCCCAATGCAGTTAGTGTAATTTTTCATTTCCTAACAGTCCTCGGGCAATTCTGTTTAACATGCTTTCTATTTCAGAACATTCTCCTATTTAAAAAACTTCTTTCGCCTCAGGCCCAACATGATTTTCCAGCCAGGCCAGTAGTAATTTCTATCATTCCTGGCTTCATTCACCTTCACTGTTAAAATTCGATGTGGATTTCCTAAGAAGGTTTCCTTTTTGTGTTTATGGCATAGCAAATGATGGGGCGCCTATGCCTTCTTTGATATTATTTGGTTCACAAAAATATTATTTCATTTTTATTACTAAGGGGAAGACATGCATGCCCAGTTTTCATATTTATTTCAAATCTGTTTCAGTTATTTATGTCATAAACCATCCTTTTTTAATGAATAGAATTTTAATTGTCCACCTGAACTTTTAAAGTTGTTCATAGCATTTTCCTGAACAGCAGTATTCACACTAGAATAAGAGACTGATTTGCTGATTTTTTTATAACGTTCAAGTTCATTTAGTAGGTAGCAAATTCTCTTTTTAAAGTGCTATTTTAAAAGTGAATGAAACAGGTTATCTTCCTTTCCATCCCAAATGAATATGAATTAGGTATAATTTTTGGCTTGAGAGGAGATAGCATTTTAAGTAGAGGCTCTCGAAGCTACTCTTTGGGTCTGAAATTGGCTATAATGACATAATCTAGAAGGATTTAGGTTTTTAATGGGGGGAAGTCTGGCAAACAGAAACATGCAAGAGAAACCCTTTGCTGTCTTATTTTAAGGCACTACTGGTTTACATTGAGGTAGGTTTTGAAATATCTTTTTATAGTATCAAGATTTTCAAGAGATTCTAGGGAATATAGATGGGGAGGTGGAGGGCTAAACTAAAATTAGAGCTCTAGTTATAATATATATTATATATTATATATAAAAAACTATATATTATATATAATCTATATAATATGTATAATACTCTATATTATGTAGAGTATAATACTCTATATATTATGTAGAGTGTTATATATTATATAGAGTATTATACTTTTTATATATCATACATGTTATATGTGTGTATATTTGTGTTGTATACACACCACATATACATAGAACTTGTGTGATGTATGCATGGCTTTTATATTATGCCTTGTATTAGTTGGAATGTTTTCCCATTAATTATGCTGATTTCTGTGTACAAACATGGGAGAAAATGGGGCTTTTCCTCTCTTTGGGGATACTCATCATAACATTAAGGAGAAAGGAAGAGTACTTCTTTTTTAGGTTATAGTTTGCATTTTAGATTTCATTGCTGTTCCTCTCGACTTCCATCTGTGTTGACATTTGGGAATTTTGTGGTTGCTCTTTCTCAAGTGGAGTGGAAATGCTTAAAACAGAATTTACACTTTTAAATACAACCAAGGCTCTATTGCATTGTGATTCACTCCAGGTCTGAATACTTTTTCTTTGGCTTAAAAAAAAATCAAATGGTTTGTTGAACTAAATATTTCTCAAGCTTGCAAACTTACTGATTATTATACATTATTAACAACCACTTTTGCATTAATGGAAAGATCTGGCTGAAAATACAATGATAAATATTAAGGTTTTAGACACTTAATATTTTATGGCATCAAAGATGTTTTTATATAGACGGTATTGTTAATTGTTATTTGTTAATGACATTGTGGTTTAATTTTATTTTGGTTTTTAGTTAAGGCTCAATTATAACCCAGGAAATACTAAAAATTTGAATAAGCCATAAATAGCCAGATTTGGTGCTGTATGACTTATGTTGGCTCTGTGCTCTATTTTTTCTTAACCTTTTAAATCCCTGTCAGTTGGCATTTTCTGTACGGGTGTGTATGAGAGAGAGATTTTGGGGCTGAATAATTAGTGGTCTGGACCTCAGTTCAGTTACTGAGAGGGTGAATTCCCTAAGACTCCTTTTAGCTTTTAATGTTTGTGATGGATTCTTTTAGACAAAATTTGATTTTAAATAAATTGTGTGTGTGTGTGTGTGTGTGTGCACTTTCTAACACTCTTAGGCAGTACAGTGGGAGTTTGTTGTAATTTCCAGATTCAGCCACTAAACAGGTGATCCGGAGGCACTATTCTTAGCAGTTTGTATAGTTGGAGAAAGACAGCAAAATCTTATAATGGCTTTAAGTATTTCATACTCCTCATTTTCAATTCTGGGCCTTATTGACTGGCCTTTGCTGGTTATTGTAGCCATTTCCCTCAGGTTTAGTTCTCTTCTCCGTACTGCGTTTATGAGAAAAATAATAATTAGAAGTTAAGTGGTCTCCAACATGAGACCATGTAATTCATGATTATTTGTTTTTTGTTTTGTTTTGTTTTGGCTTTTCTTAAAGGCCAGCTTTACATATGGGTAGATACCAGCTTAAAAAAAAAAGAGAGAGATCCTCTATGTATAGCTGAAAATCTTATTTTCTTGGTGCTAAGACAAAATTCAGGTGTGAATTAGACAAAAGTGGAAAAGAATAGATTAAATAATAAATAACCAATACACTGTAATATGTATTGGTTAATCTATTATTATTATTATTTGAGAAAGGGTTTCATTCTGTTGCCCAGGCTGGAGTGCAGTGGCAAGATCATAGCTCATTGCAGCCTTGAACTCCTAGGCTCAATCAATCCTCCTGCCTCAGCCTCCTGAGTGGCTGGGACTACAGGCATATGCCACTGCTCCTGGCTGATTTTTAAATTTTTTGTAGAGATGGGGTCTTGCTATGCTGCTCAGGCTGGTCTTGAACTCCTGGGCTCAGGTGATTCTCCTGCCTTGGCCTTCCAAATTGCTGGGATTACAGGTGTGATCATCACACCTGGCCCGATTTTTATTTTTAATTGTTTATTATGGACTTTGGAAAGGAATTGTAGAAACTTAATCAAAGGCATGTGTAATTTATTTAATGTTTGGATATGTGTTTTTGGTTAAAAAATGTAAGAAAATTAGCAGAAATACTTTCTAAAGGAATAGAATATATGTCAATTTTCAAAGGATGATAAGCCAAGGTAAAATTGGCTTAACCAGTTTTGGAAGCCTCATGGAAAAACTCAAGTCAGTAATGAAACCTCTCAATAAAAAAAGGTAACTAGAGAATCCGTGACCACATTATTGTGTTACCTAAGCTGATGAACAGGGTAAGATATTTTATTTTTCTATTAAGGAAAGATCAATTCCTAGGTCCCAGTGCTCTTGAGACAGGCGTTAACTCACTCAATATTTGCCAGGCAATATGTTGTCTTCTAGAAAGTGCACCCCTGTCTTTTGTTCTTGAGTAATTTACTGGCTAGTTGGAGGTAATAGGAATAATCCAGTGATAAATTGTAGTATATAAAATTTACCTGGTAACTAAGATGTTATACACTCAAATTTCTGGGTCTGGATATCACACAGTTAGAAGTTTTAATGAGTTTCACATGAAATATTTTGCTTTACATATATAAAATCACTGCTGGGTAGGCTGACAGTGTATCCTGCAGTGGTTAAAAGCTGAGACTTGGGTCAGCTGGCCTGAGTTCAAATCCTAGCTCCCTAACTATTTGCTATGTGCTGCAGTCTGAATGTTTGTATTCCCTCTGCCGAAATTTATATATTGGAATCCTAACCCCCAAGATGATAATATTAAGAGACAGGGCCTTTGAGCGGTGTTTAGATCCTGAGGGTTCTACCCTCATTAATGGGATTAGTACCTTTATAAGAGAGGCACGAAGAAGCTCATTTACCTTTTCCACCACATGAAGAAGCAACAACAAGGCACCAACTATGAAACTATGAGAGATCCCTCACCAGGCATGGAACCTGCTGGCACCTTGATCTTGGACTAACCAGCTTCCAGAACTATGAGCAATACATTTCTTTTGTTTATAAACTACCCAGTCTAAGGTATTTTGTTATAGCAGCCTGAATGGACTGACACTATGGGTAATTTAACTTTCCTAACCCTTAATTTTGTAATCTATAACATGAGGATAATAATACCAGCTTTATCAACATTTTATGAGGATTAAATAATGGGATAATCCATGTAAAGACTGGCTGGCAAGAAGTACGTGCTCTGTAAATATTATTAATTGTGATTAGGAGATACGGAAAATAAAATGACCCAAGGAATTACATTCCAGGGTATGGAATTTTTTTAGAATTTTTCTTTAGATTTATTTCTGCAAGTAATTACATTCATTACAATAGCTTTAAGTCAGTGCCTTCCAACCTGTGAAGAGTCTTTTTTTTTAAAAAAAAAACACACATTTTTTGCTCACCATCACTGGCCATCAGAGAAATGCAAATCAAAACCACAATGAGATACCATCTCACGCCTGTTAGAATGGCAGTCATTAAAAAGTCAGGAAACAACAGGTGCTGGAGAGGATGTGGAGAAATAGGAACACTTTTACACTGTTGGTGGGACTGTAAACTAGTTCAACCATTGTGGAAGTCAGTGTGGCGATTCCTCAGGGATCTAGAACTAGAAATACCATTTGACCCAGCCATCCCATTACTGGGTATATACCCAAAGGACTATAAATCATGCTGCTATAAAGACACATGCACACGTATGTTTATTGCGGCACTATTCACAGTAGCAAAGACTTGGAACCAACCCAAATGTCCAACAATGATAGACTGGATTAAGAAAATGTGGCACATATACACCATGGAATACTATGCAGCCATAAAAAATGATGAGTTCATGTCCTTTGTAGGGACATGGATGAAACTGGAAATCATCATTCTCAGTAAACTATCGCAAGAACAAGAAACCAAACACTGCATATTCTCACTCACAGGTGGGAATTGAACAATGAGAACACATGGACACAGGAGGGGGAACATCACACTCTGGGGACTGTTTTGGGGTGGGGGAAGGGGGGAGGAATAGCAGTGGGAGATATACCTAATGCTAGATGACGAGTTAGTGGGTGCAGCGCACCAGCATGTCACATGTATACATATGTAACTAACCTGCGCATTGTGCACATGTACCCTAAAACTTAAAGTATAATAATAAACAAAAATAAAAAAATAAAAAACACACATTTTTAATCTACGAGAGACTGATACATAAAATTCAACAAAAATGAGTTACTAGAAAAATTAACTTAAAAAAAGAAGACATAAAAGTACCAGTTTTTAAATTAGATTCAACACATACAAAAATTCTCTGTAAAACTGCTATAAAAGTCTCTAAATGCTTACTCTCAATTTCAGTACTTATGTTATCATGGACCAGTGACAAACAGTTGGCGACTCAGCAGTGGTCTGTGGCACACATTTGAGTAGTATTGCTTTAAATATCAATATGAAATTTTTATATATATATAATTTTGAAGTAAATGAATATATATATTTATATAAATATATAAAAATATATTTATATAAATATATATAAAAATATATATAAATATATAAATATATATTTATATAAATATATATAAAAATATATATAAATATATATAAATATATATTTATATAAATATTTATTTTGAAGTACATGAATATATATATTTATATAAATATATATATAAATATTCATTTACTTCAAAATTTATATCTATACCCCAGACCATTTCTCTGGCCTTCTGATTTACACGTGGAGATTACCATCTCTCTCTTAGTTAATGGCATTATTTCTACTCAGGAGAAATCTGTTATTATTATCTCTTTCTCCTCCTCACCTGTCCAACCAATCCATCATTTATGTCCTATTGAATTTTGCTATTCTGTACATCTTTACTGCTAGCTTCTTAGTCCAAAGCCACCAATGTCTGATACAACTTAATACCAGCCTTCCTGCTTCTACTACTCCATCCTCTTTCTTCCATTCTGCATAGAGTTACAAGAATGAGTTTTCTAAAAAGGTAAATCTGTTTATAACATTTTATTGGCTTCATGTTTTAATTACAGTTTCCTTGGGTGAATGGTATGTAACAATTACATTTTCAAGTCGTTGAGAGGCAGTACTCTAGATGGGTGGTTTAATAGCTTAGTTGGGGTGGTGGTTGTGTAAATGTTAAAAATTCTGATTTGAGAGGTTGCCAGATATTAAGATTAAGAAGGAATAAATCAGAGGCTGGAGATATTTAGGAAGCCCTGTAGCCAAAGGGATACTATTCTCTTAGTGCTTTAACTGTACATTTACCTCTCATTTCCTTCCGGTTTAAAACTGAGCCAGATCCCAGTCTTTCACGGGGATAATTGACATATCAGGTAGCAGGCTAATTTGTATTAGCAGCAATCTGGAAGTAACTTGTGGGGTTGAATTCTAAGTAGACTAAGGAGGATGCAACATACAAATATGTGTGTACTTAATTCAGATGGAGCCAAATTTATGTATAGGAGTGTTGTTAACAGGAGTCTGGATTTAATGTGTTAACTTCAGCACCTGGAAATGGCTCCAGCAATTTGCCTGGTTATTTGATTCAAACTTGGGTTCAGCAATGGCCAACATTTCAATGTGGTTGAGATCCCTTAACGTTTCTAGCTGTGCAGGTAGGAGGAAAGTGAAATGGCACAATACATTTATTATATGCAGTCCTCTCCTGTACCTCCTCACTCCAACCCTTCTGAGATTCCAGAGGACATACCCATGATTAAGAATTGAGAAATGTCTTGGTGAGGGGAGCAGACCTGTATGGTATCTCTCAGCTGGGAAATCTTACTGGGATATGCTGCCATTGAGCTAGAATTGATTTCAGTGGGGATCACGGGGCTCTGGAGTGGCAAAGGGCTTTTTTGGCAGTGCTTTGGCTTCATGGATAAGGTAGCTATCATTTTCATAGTAGGCTTAGATGTGGAGTGGCAGTCAGTGTTTTGAAATGCAGCCTTTAGTGGTCGTGGCTAATTGGTTATAATGTCCTTAAGCATACAATAAATTGGCCATTTAACATATTTTTACTTGATCTCTATAACTGGGGAAATTCTAGCTGTGTGGAGTAGAAACTTGACATTTGCTACTGATAATAGGAGCCCTTTGGAGCCCCTTGATTGAAGGTGAGACTGATTTCCCTTGAGAAAGGACATGAAATACTACCACAAATGTACACTTTAAATCTTCCAAGGCTTTCCTAAAGGGACTTGCTGTTTACTGGGAAAAAGCCCAGACTTTTGAAAATTAATAAAAATGGGTCCTGGATTAATCCCTGGGGGGACCGCAGTGCCACTCTGGCATATCAGTTCGAGTCAAGGCTTATGGAAGTCGCCTGGAAAATTGACTTCCAGCTGCATCCGCATCGCCATGGGTCCAGTGGCTTGGCTGACTAGTCCTGTGATTTTCCCACTTCCTGAATGCATGATTGCATCAAGCCTGGAAATTGGCAGAATTTTCACATTGACCCCTTGTGGAGTGAGGACTATTTAGGAAGACTAAGTGGAAGCCCCTGAAACTGCCCTTCACTAACAAAAGACAAAACTTTAAGCAGTGCTACATCCCTACAAACATTGCACAGAGCAGGGCTACCTTCAAAGACTTCAATCTCAGTGGAGAATATAACATCTCTTTTTGATTTGCTGATTGGATGAATGGATCTTGGAGATCAAATATGGAGTAACATAATCCTAATCAGAGAGTGACTCTTAGTTGCTTTGCTTTCCAAAATGTAGTATCAGTATACATTTGTCACCCCATGTCCATGGGGGATATGTTCCAAGGCCCCCAAGTGGATGCCTGAAACTGCAGATAGTACTGAACCCTACATATACTATTTATTTGATCTGATAACTGAGATAGCTACTAAATGACTAAGTGGCAGGTAAAATAGACAGTGTAGATACATCAGATAAAGGGATGATTCAGATCCCAGGTGAGATGGAGCTGGGACAGTGTGAGATTTCATCACACTATTCTCAATGACACACAGTTTAAAACTTATGAATGTTTACTTCTGGAATTTTCCATTTAATATTTTTGTACCACATTGACCTCAGGTAACTAAAACTACAGAAAGTGGGTGACTCCTGTAGTCCTTTGCACCTGGAATGCCACAACTGATACGGCATCTTTTTTTTCTTGCTGTGCCAGTTAGATTAGAGGCACATTGTCTTCAGCTAGTGAGAAGAACTGAACACCTTCATTGTTTTAGGGCAGGGTGATAAAAGTCTTCTGATCTCATCATAATATGGCTCATGGAGACCTTGACCATCTAGATATGTAGAAAACATCTCAAACTAGTACCCTAAAGCAAACATGCTTTTGAATCTGATGATCAGGAAGTAGCAAGTAGGTGGTTTAGTAGGACTCACACGTGCCAGATGTTGGATGATAAACTCTGTGCTTTAAAGTTGGTAATCTTGCAAAACTTAATTTAATACTGTGTTCAAATATTGATTCAACACTATTGAGTCTATAGGTTTTTTTCCCCAAATGACTTGTGTTTAATTAAATAAGGAAAACAAAGAACTTGATAGTAATTTGAAAAGAAGGTACTTGCTTTGAACAACTTACACAGTATCAGACCTCTAAAATACAAATTTCTCTGTAGCGTTTTGACTTGAGCTTCATTTTTGAATGGAGATTTTTTTAATTGAAGTTTTTCAACTGGAAAATACATTTAGGAAATTTAGTGTATTTATTTTACACACATACTTTCATATGTAAAAGTTAACATAACATTTACAAATACAACTCTGTAGTTTAATGCTTTATATATAAAAGTAAGAATAAAAGTTATTTTGGAAAACTTTAGAAATAAACCAGAGTTTTTGCCTTCAAGTTGTTTATGATTGATTATACCTAATGCTCTTAATCAAATAAAATCTTGTTTGTATTTAGCAAAATAATAGATGGCTTCAGAAAATAAGTACTTATATAGATAGGAAAGGCAAATTTGTACAACTCTCACCTTTTGTTCAAGTGTAGAAACAGAATCCATGCCAGCAATTTATTGAGTATTTACTATGAGCCAGGTACTGTTGTAGATAATTGGAATATAGGTGTGAACAAGGAGACTATAAAGCTCATACATTTGAGGAGCTTACTTTCCAGCAGCAGGAGACAGGCGATACACAATAAACATCACAAATATTGGATGATAAATGCCATGGCAAAAAGAAAACATAGAAGAATATAATAAAAACGGGAATTGAGTGTGGAGGGGCAGTTTTAAATAGGCGTATTTCAGGTTAGGAACTATTGAGAAGCTGACATTTGTGGAAAGACCTGCAGGGGAATTAGTCATGCACTGTCTGGTGGAAGAGTGTACCAGACCTAAGAAATGGCCAGTGCAAAAGCCTCTACACAGGGGTTTGCCAAGAGCAGGGGTCCCCAAACTTTGGCACCAGCGACTGGTTTTGTGGAAGACAATTTTTCCATGAATGGGGGGCAGGGGATTGTTTTGGGATGATTCAAGTGCATTACATTTTTTTTGTGCACTTTATTTCTATTTTATTACATTGTAATATATAATGAAATAATTATACAACTCACCATAATGTAGAATTGGTGGGAGCCCTGAGCTTGTTTTCCTGCAACTAGATGATCCTGTCTGGGGGTGATGGGAGACAGTGACAGATCATCAGGCATTAGATTCTCATGGGAACACGCAACTTAGATCCCTTGCATGTGCAGTTCACAGTAGGGTTCTATGTGAACCCTGTTAGATTCTGCTATGGGAATCTAATGCCACCGCTGATCTGACAGGAGGTGGAGCTCAGGCAGTAATGCAAGCAATGGGGAGTGGCTATAAATACAGATGAAGCTTCTTTGTGTTTATTTTTGCCATTCACCTCCTGCTGTGCGACACAATTCCTAACAGGCCATGGACCGGTGGGGACCCCTGGCCTAGAGTATTCAGGAAACAGCAAATAGAAGAGTTTGTATGGGACAGAATGAGCTAGGGACAGAGCAGTAAGAAAGGACATTAAGAAAGATAAGGGAGGAAGGATCAGATGACACCACAAATACTTGTAGATTGCTGTAAAGACTTTGGTTAGCTTTTACTGTGAGTGACATGGGGAGCCACTGAAGCGTTTTGAGAAGACAAATGACATGAACTTATGACTTAAAATGATTACTCTGGGTGACTATATTGAAAATAGATTGTAGGAGGCAAGGATGTAAACAGGACGACTAGTTATGGCTATTATGTGATCCAAATGAGAGATGATGGTGACTTGAATCAGTATCTTAGGAGTGATGGTAAGAAATTATAAAATTGAATTCATTCTGATTCTGTTATGAAAGCTGAGTCAAAAGCACTTCCTGGTGGATTGGATGTGAGAGAAAGAGAAGAATCAAGGGTGACTTCAAAGTTTTTGGAATGAACAATAGGAAAAAATTTAAGTGACCTGGGCCCGGGTTATCATTTAGTTAGATATAGGGACAGTACTATAGCTTGGATTTCAATATTTATAGCTTGCAGATTTAAATGCATAAATCTCATAGATTGTAAGGACAAAGACCACACTTATTTGGAATTTTTTAATATATGTGAATCTGGGATTTTAGTCGGATGTGGACTTGCTGCATATGTTTGCCTAATATAAAATATGCTGTATTATAGTCTAGTATATCATATTTTTGAGGGACAGTCATCTTGATTAATAGCAGCCTTTCTATTTCATTTTATTTTTTGACGTGGCTTAATGTAATTCTCATAGTGTTATGTATATTCGTTGATTTAACAACTATATTTTAATGCTTAGTATATGTCAGACATTGTGTTAGGTGCTGGGCTATAGGAATAAACAAAGCAGACAATTGTCTTCATGGTGATGTAATCATTGTCTGAAGTTTTTGTTTGTTATTGTTTTGTTTTTGTTTTTCCCATTACAATAGTTTTTGTATAATAATTAGAAACAAAAATTAGTGTTTTTTTGGGAATTAAGAAGAGATTTTAGACTTATGTATGTAGGGTTTTGTATTAGTATGTTCTCACACTACTATAAAGAAATACCTGAAACTGAGTAACTTGTAAATAAAAGAAGTTTAATTGGCTCATGGTTCTGCAGTCTGTACAGGAAGCATGGCTGGGGAGGTCTCAGGAAAGTTACATTCATGGCGGAAGGTGAAGAGGAAGGAGGCATGTGTTACATGGTTGGAGCAGGAGGAAGAGGGTGAAAGGAGAAGTATTACACACTTTTAAAACAACCAGATCTCATGAGAACTCACTATCATGAGACCAGGAAGGGGGAATCTGCCCCTGTGATCCAGTCGCCTTCCACCAGGCCCCTCCTCCAACATTAGGTATTATTACAATTTGACATGAGATTTGGGTGGGTACACAAATCCAAACCATATCAGGCTTCAACAGGAGGCAAATGACAATCAAAATGTTATCATCTAAGGAGTATTAATTTATAAAGTGAGTATTTGTAAAGATATGGTAATAGGGAATCCATAGTGGATAATTCCAGTGGCTTAGCTTTTGAGTTGCTAATACCTGTAGGCCTGAAGGAATAAAAGAAGGAGCCATTCACCTAATGTGAAACAAGAAAATCATGTACAGTCATCCATTTTGATAGTAGCAGTGATCTTAGTTCAGGGGACATAGTCAACTCAATTGCAGGGAGGGACCTGGAGAATAAGTGTCGTGATCTACTCCACTTCTCCATGATCTCTTCCTGGACCTTTCAAATGGCCAAACCCTGCTCAGGCCAGAGGTCTGTGATACAGTCCATAGAGGTTGGGTTCCCAGGGCAGAAAATGGTATAGGATGTTGGAATTAAAGATGTAAAATTAAAGATGTATGGTACAGCCTTTCTACTTTGCCTCTCAGCCTATATTACCTTTTTTCAGGGTTAAAAGTTTGGGATCCTGACTTAGGTAATCCACAAAGTCCCATCAGCTACCCTATCATCAAGTGATGTAAAACCGGTTATACCTTACTTGAAACATAACATATTGGCTACCACTGGTACTCTTCATATAAGGTAGCACAGCAAAACAGAGAAAATAACTGGCTTAAGTCATATAAACATATTTGCTACAGACTCCATGTCTGTAGATGGTCACAAGGCTCAGTTTGTAATCACAGCTGCCTCCGTATTGGCTACACGGGGTTCTTTATGAAGTTAACCTTTAAGAGTTTCATTCCTACAGGATCTCAGTCTTCGGCTGTGTTTTTATTAGGTTGCTGCAGTTTTCCTTTACTGAAACTAGAAGGCTTTCTGGTATATTTTCTGATTCTCAGCAGTCCTCCTGGCTTCTGTTGTGAAACTGCCACCCAATTTGCTTTTTTTCTTTCCACGCTTCAGTGACATGAAGAACACAAAATGGCCACACAGTAGTGTTAGCTTTCAATTAACTGAAAATATGATCATGTTCCTTGGTGGAAGAATTCCCCACTTTGAACATGAGGACTTCCAAACTCACCAAGCCTAAAATTGGGGAGTGAAGCAAAATTCTTCCAGTAGCTTATCAATTATTACAGTGAAAAGGGCTAGTCCCACCTCTTTTGTTTCATTCCTGGACCCACATTCTGCCTATGGGGAGATAACACTATATATTTGCTGCTAGTTTGAAGCATATACTGTATCTTACTGGTCAGAACCTCAACCCGTCAAGCTGTTTCCTACCCAATATCATTATAATTGAGACTTCAGCAGACTCTTCTACCATTTTATAAAGCCATCTGTTTCTGGGTGATGGAGCACATAGTAATACCAGTGAATTACTTGAGTGTAAGCTCATCATCTATATAGTATGCCCTCTGGTCACAGGCCCTGTTGTGTCATGTAACACAGCAATTGACAAAGGATAAGTTAAGTCTGTTGATGGCATTGGAAACACTGTAGGCAACAAAGACAAATCTACACCCAGAATAAGTATTTCTTCTTGGGAGGACACAAATATTCCCCTTCCTTCATGTGGGGTATCCAGTGGTATCAGCCTGCTCCCACACAGTTGGTTGATCAGTCCATAGAATGGTAACATTCTGAGGTTTATGGGGGCATCCTGCTCTTTGTTGGCTGCATGCTTAGCATATATGGTAGTCAGATATGGTGAGGGGAAGAACATGGTGAGGGAAAGACCATGAACCCATGGATAGCATCCATTCTTGCAACCCTAGCAGCTTTGTACATAAGCAAAGCATGTATTGGCTGGGGAAACTGGCTGACTGACATCCACTGAATTGACCATCAGTGTTCATCTGATGTCTAAGAGGCCACTCCTGCCTGTGTGTTCTATGATGGGTATTTATATGGGCATGAATATCATCCTACTCTGTACTTCTTCCTAGAGGTCAATACCTGTCACTGATTTCTAAGTTACTTTCTTCCCAAGATTATGCCCTGTTTGCCAGAACTTGCACTTACTAGCTCATAAGTCAATGTAGAACTGTACTTCTAGTTACTTTTTATTCCAAAGTGGAAAACCACATGTACAACCTAGTTCTGCTCATTGGAGAGGCTGTCACTGAGTGGGCTTACAATTCACTCCTAGCTTATGCAGGCATACTGTGCAGATGGAGCTGTTCTACAGGCTCATGCATTTTCCTTCTTAACTTCCTGGCCACTGGGACCTGCCCATGACACCAAACCTGTGGGTTTAAGGGAGAGGCGGAAACAGTAGGAACAAGTGACTTTGGAGTTCAAGTCACTTGTTTGGGTAGTTTAGTTTACTTGTGCCTTCTAAACATGCTTTGGTCTGGTCTTGTATATACTATTTCCATTTTATAGTGGAATTCCATTTTGCAAGTTCATTTTGAGGGTTTGTTTGATAGAACAGATAATAATCAGTTCCAAACAGGCAGTTTAAATAGTCACTTAATATTTAATGGGCAGGCTGTTAATCTCTGCTAGCACCTAGTAAGCTAAAAACTGCTTTTCAGAGAGAGTAGCTGTCTACAGAGAAAAGCATGGATACTCTAATGCAGTCCCCACATACCAGCTTCTTGAGTCAGAGAGTGGTGTGCAAAAAAAAAAGGGGGGGTGAATTTGGAGGGGCAGATGGACGATACTTGATAGACTTTGAACACTGAAGAATTTTAATGAGAAACATTTAATTAGCTTTTCTGTTATACATCTTTGTGTATAAGAAGGCAGCAGTAGTGATTTGATTTGGGATTAGAATTTGATTTAATTTCATTGTATTGATCTTTCACATTGTACTTTTCTTTTGTCAGGGATTTTTCTTTCTTTTTCCTTTTCTTCTTGTCCTTTTTTCACTCTCTCTTCTCCCCTCTCTCCTCCTCCTCTCTTTCCAGTAGTAATTAGAATATATTTTTGTTGTATAATCCATTGCAATATATGGCTAAACTAAAGGTCTCAGCTCTAGACTAGACTGGTTATCCACTGCTAGCCACATTTACTGTGTCCAGTTTCTTTTCTGTTATTACCTGCCTCTCTTGGCTCTTAGAGGAAAAGTTGGATGATGTGATTTTGCATTATTTTTGTTATCTATCTCTGTTAGGATAGATCTGTGGTCAGAGTAACTAGAAAGTATATAACTATAATTTGATTATATCATTTTTTGCATTATTATAGTTCCTCCTTATGCCTTTCTATAGGAGTCCTACTTCAGAAATTACTAAGTTTTTGTATTTCCTTTTACAGAGTTTAAATTACTTTCAATACATTTACTTATCTTTAGGATGACAGACGTTTTTGATTCTATGATATGTATATGAGGCAGATTCTTGCTCAAGGAGACATTTTAAATTCAGGAAGTTTGACATCGTTTTTTTTACCCTCAGTATTATTATATCTTTTGGTTCATTTGTCATGTTTTATAATGTTAATGATTGAACAGCTAATCTGTATACAAATAAAATAGGTACTGCCAGGCAACCAATTTTTATTGCTGACTTTTTGGTAATTGGGAGGGTTAATTGATAATTCTATATAATTATATAATTTGATTCTAAATAATATTATAGGAGCAGCTTTAAAAATAATCTTTTGCCTTGGCAATTCTGGCTAGGTGTCAGTTTTAGAGAAAGAAGGCTACATTTAAGAATCTGTTACTTTGGAGGCCATCAGGACAGGCTGGAATTATGAGAAACCAAATGTCACTTCAATTTATTCAGCATGAATTTATTTTCCAAAAGAAGCTTAAAAATATACTGCCTACTTTTTCCCTATTTTTACTTGGAGTCTCATTTTATATTGACATTCATATTCTCTTTTGTACTTTAGCTTGAAATTTGTTAAAGTTTCTCATAATTTGAAGAATTGCACTGGAGACATTTGGCTTTACATTATGCAATGAATGCTAATTGACAGCTGATTCATAATTAGTTAATTGTAAACACTTAACTACAGAAATTTGTTCAGTGCACTAAAAGCCCAGACATCACCACTGTGCAATGTATGCATGTAAGAATCTGCACTTGTGCCTCCAAAATCTATAACAATTCAAATTAAAAAGTATAGAAATTTAACAAGTCTGGATTGATAACCCTTCTTAAAAAGTAGCTGTTCTAGGAATGCCTTGGTCAAATTCTCATCTGTAGGATTAGAGATCTTCTGATGCCATATGATTAATGATTTTTTCCCCTTTCTCATGGTAGATTAGTAATTTGTGACTCTTTTGTTTATTCTTCAATAGTGATAAGATCCGTGGATCCCTTTTAGGAAGTTTTACAAATATTGCACCAAGGGAAGAAAATGTGTAACATTTGCAGGATTAAAGGAATTATGAAGAGAATTTTGCCCAGGAATTAAGCATGTTTGCATTTTCATATTTTTATGAAGGAATATCAAGTATCCTGGACATTGAACTGTCTCAGTGTGGAAATTAGGTTGACTGGATGTTACTATGGGTATCATTTCTGCCTTAGGGAAGAGAACAAAAGGAAACAGGACCCCATACCCTCCTCCACCCATCATTACTAACTTTGAATAAGTCACCATGACGTAGACCCATAATCAAAATGTCAGCCCCACCCCAGAAACTGACACATATCCTTGGTATTAAATGAAAGTAATTTTTAAAAAGAAGTCTGCAATATCAGCCGGGCACGGTGGCTCACGCCTATAATCCTAGCATTTTGGGAGGCTGAGGAGGGCAGATCACGAGGTCAGGAGTCCGAGACCAGCCTGGCCAGTATGGTGGAATCTTGTCTCTACTAAAAATACAAAAATTAGCCAGGCATGGTGGCGCATGCCTGTAGTCCCAGCCACTTGGGAGGCTGAGGCAGGAGAATAGCTTGAACCTGGGAGGCAGAGGTTGCTAGGAGCTGAGATTGTGCCACTGCATTCTAGCCTGAAGACAGACAGAGACTCCATCTCAAAAAAAAAAAAAAAGTCTGCAATATCAAAGATGCCATATTTAAATAAAAACTACCAAATAAAGTACAATAAGATACACCATTTAATTTTTTCACCTTAAATTTTTTTCTTAAAAAAAATAAAAACAGTGAAATACATCTTAAATTACTTCACTGCCTGTTACACTGAGAGTCCCAGTGATAGATCTGTTTTATTACTGTTTGTTTCAATAACCATTTCCTGTCTCCCTCTTACTTCCAGCAACATTCTCAAAACCACGCTCACAAACAATAAATACTAAAAGCAGTGGCACTGAAGCATGACGTACTCATCTTCATTCTCCTCTAAGCCTGGTTACCACCAAAGCACAAAAGCCCAGCTCCCACACCCTCAAGAGCAACATCCTGAAGGGGGATTGAAGGGGGATGTATTGTTAGAGATTCTAATCCTGAAAGGAGAAATATGATCTTATGAAAAATACATATAATTGAATTTTATCAAACTTGGGACACCATGTAAAACTGAGTTATTAATGTGGTTCATATTCCTCTAAAAAGCTAAAAAAAAAAAGGCCTATTGATTATCAGTTTAAGTAACCTTTATTAAGAAGAAATATGTTGAGCATTTTTGGGCATCACTTTGTTGGGTGCCCAAAGCCAAGAGAGCATCATCAACTCTGGGGAATGACTGCTTGGAACATTTGGAAGAATCCCTCTGTTGGTACAAGCTTGAAACACAGCTCATGTCATGCCCCAGTGTTGCTTAGAATCTTCTATATGCAGTTATAACCACTGAAGATTTGTTAGTCAATGATGGACCACATCTTCAGTGGTGGTTCCATAAGATTATAATGAAGCTGAAAAAATGTTTATCACATAGTGACATCACCAATAATGCCATAGTGCAATGCACTAATGTGTTTCTAGAGATGCTGATGAAAACAAACCTGCTGTGCTCCCAGTCATATAAAAGTAGAGCATATACAATTATATACAGTATATACTGCTTAATAATGATAATACATGTTACCAGTTATGTATTTATTATACTATACTTTAAATTGTTATTTTACAGTGTACTACTACTATGTATATTAAAAAATTAATTAACTATAAAGCATCCTCAGGCAGGCTCTTCAGGAGGGATTCCAGAAGAAGGCATTGTTATCATAGGAGATGACAGTTCCATGTGTGTTACTGCTCCTGAAGACCTTCCAGTGGGACAAGATATGGAGGTGGAAGACAGTGATATTGATAATCCTGACCCGGGGTAGGCCAAAAGATATAAGGAAAGAAAATAAAAATTTAAAGAAAGAAAATATATTTGTACAGCTTTACAACTTGCTTGTGTTGTAAGCTACATATTATTACAAAAGAGTCCAAAAGTTAAGAAAAAATTAAAAAGTTTATAAAATAGAAAAGTTACTGTAAGCTAAGGTTAATTTATTATTGAAGAATAAAAAATGTTTAAATATAAATTTAGCGTAGCCTGTGACAGTGTGTATAAAGCCTTTAGTAGAGTACAGAAGCAACACGTCTACCAGCAGACATTTAAAAGAGTTTAGTGTACATACTAATTATATGAAAAGGTTTTTTGTTTATATGTCTATTTGTAGGCCTTGTGTCCAAAAATTGAGTCCAGTAACAGGCATTTTGGCAAGCATCTCAGAAATCTTGATTTCGACAAATAGCTCAGTTGAGTGAGATGCAGATGGACAACACAGAAACACACGTTTTGAGAGTAATATGTAAGTTTAAATGCAGTTGTTGGCTTTATAGACTTTATGTGATTAGCATTTTATTTTAGAGGGCTTAGATATGAAGACATTTTTTATTTTTTTCAAATTTTAGATTTGCATTTTTTTATTTTTAGTAAAACTAATTTTTGCTTTTGGTGAATGAAATTTCTTTTCTTTCAATGAAAGACATCACATTTTCATGTATAAGGATGAAATCATTAAATCACTGTTTGTTAAGCTAAGATGTTGTGACTATTAAAGGGGTTTGGAATGATGTAAAGGAGCTGTGGAAACGGGAAATAGAAATTTTGGAATACTTTGTAGTGAGTTAGAGCTTTTATTTATTTATTTTTCTTCAGAAAAGGTTTTTCCTTCCTGAAAAATCTGTGATTCTTTTTATTGACTAGAAAGATTTGGAGCAGGGGTGAATTTGATTAGAGATCATAATTTTAATACACATGTTGGTACTATAGAACTGTGGGAAATAATTAGTGAACAGTATCTTAATGCACTTATTATCATATTGGGAAGCATTTCCATCTTTTAAATTTAGAATGTTAATAAGAAAATGCTTGTAAATACGACCTTTAATGTGAATTTGGAGACAAACCTAGTTCCACTTAAAGTGAGTTATATAAAATATTTTAAAGATAAACATATATATTTCCTGTGGAATGAATCTTTTGTTGCATTTGGGCTTTTCTCAATTATAGCCATGTTCACTGAACCAGTACAGGAACTGAGAATGGAGTCTTGTGGAGAAAAATGTCAAATATACTTTTCTCAGCAGTTGTTGAGCTGCCCAGTTCTTGATGGGGTACAATTATTGTTTAGGTGTTGATTCTAGTAGCAAGTTAAAGGGAGGGAATTTGAAACCTTGTGTTTTCCAAGGATTAGAAATAAAAACAAAGAAAGCAAAACAAGCAAACACAGGACCAAAGCTCAAGCTTTGATTTTGAAGTTGATTTTTGAGGCCGCATGACTAATGCTTTTCATAGTACTGCATACTGGCCGTGAGCAGGAAGCAAAGCAGATAGAGTGGCTGCAGATACATAATTACATGGCTGCCTCTGTCTTCTCTGGGAGTTTTTAAATGGAAATAATGTTGTTCTTGAGGGTGCAGAGCTGGACTTTTGTGCGTTGGTGGTAACCAGTCTTAGCAGAGAATGAGTACGTCATGCTTCAGTGCCACTACTTTTAGTATTTATTGTTTGTGAGCGTGGTTGTGAGAATGTTGCTGGAAGTAAGAAGAAAGAAGGAAAATAGGTATTGAAGCAAACAATAATAAAATAGATCGATCACTGGGATTCTCTGTGCAACAGGCAGTGAAGTAATTTAAGATGTATTTCACTATTTCTTTTTAAGAAAAAAATCTAAGGTGAAAAAATTAAATGGTTTATCTTACTGTCCTTTCTGTGGTAGTTTTTATTTAAATATGGCATCTTTGATATTGCAGACTTCTTTTTAAAAATTACTTTTATTTGGCTGGGCGCAGTGGCTCACACCTGTAATCCCAGCACTTTGGGAGGCTGAGGCGGGCGGATCACGAGGTCAGGAGATCAAGACCATCCTGGCTAACATGGTGAAACCCCCTCTCTACTAAAAATACAAAAAAAAAAAAACAAAACAACTTTTATTTAATACCAAGGATATATGTCAGTTTCTGGTATAGGGTGGGGTTGACATTTGGAAAATGAATAAGGAAGTATCAGAAAGCTTTAGATATGTTATATCCTTGAGGATATGACACTATGAGCAAATAACACTAGAGAAGCCTTACCAACCTGTAATTTCTTGAAGACAGGTACCACGTTTTTTTCATTTTTATTTTGTTCCAGTGATATTTTATTCAGGAGTGCCTACTATTGTTAGATATCTGATTAGGTATTAGAGATTTGAATAGATTATATGTATGCAAGTATGAGATTATATATGTGTATATAAGTACATATATATTTACTTGTGTGTATATATATATATATATATACACACACACACACACACGTGTGTGTGCCCATGCACATACCCTAGAGCCTAAACATTTTTTGAATGAGTTAATAAGTGGGTTAAAGGGGGTGGGAAAACTGAATATAGACAGAGCCATCGAAGCCTTGAAGGGTCTCATACATTCCATTTCAGCAGAATGGTCAGGTTTAGCTGGCCATATTTTGGATTAGGACAGTTATGACTACTATTACAGTGATTTGAACAGTAGACTTGCTAATGAGATATAAGTTTTCATTATTTGGCTGTCCTCATTTCTTCCTCATCTACTTTTCAATAAACTTTCAAACTTTTCTTAAAGTAGACAATTTGATTAAACATGCTCTACCTTAAAACTTTTAAATTATTTTTAAATAATAAATTTTAAAGTAATATTATAGATCCTTTCATAATTTACTTAATATTTTGTCTTTGTATGTTTATAGTAGGAAAAAATAGAAAAACAGAGATAAAAGCAAAGAAAAATCATTAACCCCATTATCAAGAGACCATAGTTACATTCTGATATACAGTGTATCAGATAACTTTTCTATATATTAGTATACATCCATAATTAAATGGGCAACCCTTTAAACTTGATTCTTTTTTGCACTTAGTGTATCATGAACATCTTTTTATGTCACTAAATGTAGATCCAACACTTCAATATTAAATGTATGAATGTCACATACATAATATCTGTGATACGCATGGGCAGTGCTTAATAATTTGAAAATATTATACATGAGTATTAATTCTAACGGCTAAGTTTTCCCATAAGAATTTTGAGAATTCTTAAGAGGGATTTGAAATTGTGTTGAATTAGCCACTGTTACAAGTTATTACAATGATGATGATTACTGTTTTTAAGGTACTTTAAAATAAAAAGCTCTTTTAAAATTCTGGTTCTGCTAATAACTTGCTGAGTGCCCTTAGTAAAGTAGCTTAACTTTTCTGATTCTTGGGTTCCTCATTTGTGCAACAAGTACAGAATTTTTAACATACAGAATAGAAAGAATTAGATGTTGTTTGGGGGGCACTTAGCACAATGCTAGGTACATAGTAAATGCAATAATCAGTATCAGTTATTGAAATCACCCCAGATTGTTAAGAAATTTTCTACTCTTACAAGCATCTCATGGTGAAACATGCTGAGAGAAACATTTGTTCTAGCTCTGTTTCTTAATGGTTGCTGTACTAGATGCTGAGGACATAATTTTAAACAAAACATGATCCTTGGCTTTATGGCACCTATAATCTGGTAGGGAAAATATGTCAGCAGATAAATTTATAATACTGTATAATTATATACCATTTGAGCAGTTTGGTCAAAGCTCTCCGTGAACTCAGTCTTGGGAAAGGTTGACCCATAAGTAATGAGGTGCCTATGTGAGTTCACTATTTCACTTGTTTTAATTATGAATAGGCCAAAACAGTAATTATTTGTATCAGTATGTCTGGTCAGAGCACTTTGGGATCACAGAATTGAAAAACTGTTCCCCATAAGCAATACAAGGCTTAGGTGAATTTAAAGTTTCCATTTTACTGATGTTGAATAGGCTACTAAATTAAGTATCAGTATGACATTATTAGCACACAGATTTAGTTGTACTTACATGAAATTTAGCTTTGGGTTTTCTTTCTTTTTTTTTTTTTTCATGTGTTTTTATTTATTTATTTATTTATTTATTTATTTTTTATTATACTCTAAGTTTTAGGGTACATGTGCACATTGTGCAGGTTAGTTACATATGTATACATGTGCCATGCTGGTGCGCTGCACCCACTAATGTGTCATCTAGCATTAGGTATATCTCCCAATGCTATCCCTCCCCCCTCCCCCGACCCCACCACAGTCCCCAGAGTGTGATATTCCCCTTCCTGTGTCCATGTGATCTCATTGTTCAATTCCCACCTATGAGTGAGAATATGCGGTGTTTGGTTTTTTGTTCTTGCGATAGTTTACTGAGAATGATGGTTTCCAATTTCATCCATGTCCCTACAAAGGATATGAACTCATCATTTTTTATGGCTGCATAGTATTCCATGGTGTATATGTGCCACATTTTCTTAATCCAGTCTATCATTGTTGGACATTTGGGTTGGTTCCAAGTCTTTGCTATTGTGAATAGTGCCGCAATAAACATACGTGTGCATGTGGGTTTTCTTTTAAATCTGCTTGTAGCATTATGCTCTTGGTTATAGTAGTTTCATTTGGTGAGGAACTTGATAATATGGTAAGTGAAATGTATCAGTGTTATTTTACATTCATACATTACATCATTACAAGACCTACAGAGTAGAGTTGCTCAGTAACATTTAAATACCTTATCTCAATTTCAATTTGGGTAAATAGTTAAAAGAATAAAATAGGTAATGGAGGAGATGTAATAAATTGAGACATGCACACAATGCAGAGGACCACTGTACTTGCCAAACTGTACCTGTGCTTTCAGACCTATTCTGTTTCATCGGAGTTAGGTTATTGGCTGTAAAATCAATGGGTTTGTGTATATAAGATATATATATATATATATACACACACACACACATACACATACACACACAGTGTGTGCGTGTGTGTATGTGTGTATATGCATATGTTATACAATGTGATATATATGTAGATAGATAGATATAGATATAAGGCTTGAATTTTTATAAATTAAAAGAGATCTTGCCAATATGTAGGCAGCCACTATGAAAGCTCTTATGATCTTTGTAGTTTTGTGCCTGACAGAATTTTGAAACCTTTGTCTCTCTCAGTAAAGGCAAAGAACTGTCAGAGTGTTTGATAGATCTTTGATATTTCACTGCTATTTAGTCCAAAAGATGTGGATTTTTTTGTTGTTGGAAATATATATATCTCCTGAGATTCTTTGATATATTTTAATGTAGTGTGTCCTATGCCATTGTCAAAGTGATAACTGATTCATTTATCCTGTTCCTAATATAAAAACATTCACAAGGCTAACATCCATGGCTCTCTGGCTATATTTAATAAATTCATAAGTGTGATTGGGTTTGTTGATATGCAAAGTGTCAATTTATATCAGTTTTCTGATCTTTGATTATTGTTTTAGGTAAAAAAATTAGTGTTTGTTAGTTTTTACTTTACTATTGATATAACCATCTTGTTTGAAACTATATATCATAAAGATATAAATTCTTATATCTCTGATATATAGTTTCAAACTACCTATCAAAATAATACTTCAAACTATGTTTTAAACTATATATTCAAAAAGTATTTGTTTCCAGATCTTGCTTCAGATCAATTAATTCAAGTTTATTGTGACAGGAACACTCCCCAAATAAAAATTCTCTGGGCAATTAAAATCATATGTGTCTCTTTCTCTTTGTTGACTGTATAAAATAAAATAAGACTGGGCATGGTGGCTCATGCCTGTAATCCCAGCACTTTGGGAGGCTGAGGCAGGTGAATCACTTGAGGTCAGGAGTTTGACACCAGCCTGGCCACCATGTCAAAACCCCATCTCTACTGAAAATACAAAAATTAGTTGGGCATGGTGGCACGTGCCTGTAATCCCAGCTACTTGGGAGGCTGAGGTGGGAGGATCGCTTGAGCTAGGGAGGAGGAGGTTGCAGTGAGCCAGGATCACACTGCTGCACTCCAGCCTGCAAGACAGAATAAAACTCTGTCTCAAAACCAACCAACCAAACGAACAAAAAAACCGAAATCCCAAAAATAAAATAGGAAAAGTTAACATACTTTGTGAATTTGTTCACTTACTGTAAGTGATACATTTTAATGTTTTTCAAGTGAGTTTTCCACCAATTTTATTTTTGACCAGTTGTATCACACTTACCTAGAGCAGAATTTTTTTTCTTCAATGGTTCAACTTATTAAAATTATTTAAGACATGCTAAGTAACAAGTAATTTAAACTGAGTATACAAGATTAAGTCAGCTGGTAAACTGTAAACTGCAAAACTTACTGGGGTGGGCAGGGCGCGGTGGCTAACTCCTATAATCCCAGCACTTTGGGAGGTCGAGGTGGGCGGATCACCTGAGGTCAGGAGTTTGAGACCAGCCTGACCAACGTGGAGAAATCTCGTCTCTACAAAAATACAAAATTAGCTGGGTGTGGTGGTGCATGCCTGTAATCCCAACTATTAGGGAGGCTGAGGCAGGAGAATCACTTGAACCCAGGAGGCGGAGGTTGCGGTGAGCCAAGATTGTGCCATTTCACTCCAGCCTGGGCAACAAGAGCAAAACTCCATCTCAAAAAACAAAACAAAACAAAACAAACAAAACAAACTTATTGGAGTGATATTAAGAATGGTCAAGGACCAATGCTTTGGAGGTAAAATCTTGGGTTTATATTTCAGCTTCACACACAGACTAGCTGTGTGACCTTGAGCAAGATTGCTTAACCTCTTCAGTTTTCTCATCTGTGCAATAGGAATAATGCTACTTCTCCCGGTGTTGGGTTATTGTGAGAGCTTAAGTAAGCTTTCATTTGTAAGTTAGAACAATGCCTGGAACATAGTAAGTACTCCATAAGATACTGGTCATTATAATTTACAATTTGTAATATTTATAAATTATTATTATTTTTTCTGTCCAGATTATTTCTCTTTTTAAAATTTTCTGTGTTGGCCAGGCACAGTGGCTCACGCCTGTAATCCCAGCACTTTGGGAAGCTGAGGCGGGTGGATCACCTGAGGTCAGGAGTTTGAGACCAGACTGGCCAACATGGTCAAACCCCACCTATACTAAAATATACAAAATTGGCCAGGCGTGGTGGCGCACGCCTGTAGTCCCAGCTACTCAGGAGGTTGAGTCAGGAGATTCGCCTGAAGCCAGGAGGTGGAGGTTGCAGTGAACTGAAATTGTGCCACTGCACTCCAGCCTGGGTTAGAGAGTAAGATTCCTTCTCAATAAATAAATAAATAAATAAATAAATAAATAAATAAATAAAATAAAATTTCCTGTGTCTTTTATATTTCATAAGTGGTTTATACCCTGCATTTTATTTTAAGAAAAAATATAAATGTAACATGTTTCTTGTACATGGTAAAATATGTACTTTTTGGTTTTTGTGGGAAATGTGCAAAATAACCTTTGTGTTGGGGTACATTTTTTTTCTTTTTGGGTTGGGAAAATTTTAGCACCCAAATAAGAATCAAAGAAGTTTAGAGTATAGATTATAGGATGGAACCTTTCAATTCAACTTCTTCATTTTGTAGAAGAAGAACCTAAAACTTTGGATATTCATCTTTCCAAAGGTCACATTGCTAGTATCTTAGAGTTGGGTCTAGAGTGTGGACCTTTCGATTCTTTAACCTCCCTCTCCATTTTGTTTTTCCCGTGGTGAGGATAGCATTTTTGACAGTGTTTGAGTAACTGTAACATCCATATTGAAAGACAGAAAAGACATAAGCATCATCACTTTGAAACTATTCATGGATACAATGAAAGTCACATTAAGAACAATATCCTAGTGATGACTTAAAAGATTGGGATTGCTTCTCAGCAAGTTAGTTGACCATACATTCTCAGGAGCATACTACTGTGCAGATGTGGTCCACCTTGCAGAGGACCTAAAGCTTCTGTCTGTCTAGCCCATACCTCTGGTCTTTGCCACGTAATTTTTCCAAAAAGAGAAACCTGAATACAGAAGAGCAGAGTGTTATTTGAGCCAAGAGCTGGTGAAACATTAAGTCAGAATGCTTCCTAGAAATCAGTAGACTAAGACTGTGTTAGCTCATGTTTCATATTACACAAGAGAAAATAAACTGAAAGGTCAGTTGAACAGTTACAGCATTGCCCTTTTCCAAGGTAATCAGCAGAGCATGTAGCAAAGACCTGAACAGGAGCGTGACTGGAAAGAGAGTGGCTGATAAAGAGGCTGGCAGCTTAAAGTGCTTGGGACAATACTTGACACTTCCAGGCCTGACCAGATGGGCCATCTCACAGGGCTTACCTTCAGTAACTCTGATTTATTGCATTCAGATGTGTGTATGTGTGAGCGTTTGTTAGGCAGTCAGGTTTTCACTTTGCCAGAAGACTCTAGAAATTTTAATATTGACCATTAATCATACCTCAGTAAACTGTAAAGTCAATATATTATTAATTTGCTTGCAACCAAGAGACAAGGCACAGTGATTAAAATTAATTTCTAGCTATATTTTGTTAAATTTATTCTAATTAATCTGTTAAGTCAAAATATGTTTACATTAATGGCTTTATAGTAGGTTCTTTAAGTTGTGTCATTAAACGTGATAGTATTTCCATTATTCTGAATGTAGAATAATGTAGTATAAATAAATATTGTTAAAAGAAATGGAGTTTTAAGGATTTCTAAATGGTACCACTAAATGGGCTTTGTCCAGTTTTTTGTTAATTGAATAAGAACATTTCTTTTTCTTTTCTTGATTTTATAGGATTTAGACCTAGAAAGATCTTAGCAGTGATCTCCCTTGACCCCCTCACATCTATGGCCCAGTGCCAGAAATTAAGAAAGAATATTTAACAAATAATAGCCGCTATTTACTTTTGGGACACTCTTTTAAATAGTAGCAACTTTTAAAAGATAATAATTTTGAATTTACCTCATACTTCCTCCCCCACCAAATACTTAATGATCTCTTCATAACCATAACTTCTCTATATATTTTATTAATTTGAGACTGAAAGTAGCCAATTTTCATTGCACTTAACTTTAGACTAAGTAAGAACAAAACTATGACTTAATTAGCTTTTATTCCTTCACATCAGAAAATAAGACACTAACAATTTTTTCTTAAATGTGGACTGAGGATGTGTTTATTAGATTGGTCACAATGCATTTGATTGTGTTTTAGAGATGGTACAATATGAATAAAATTTAAAAAGATTAAAATTAATAACACAATGTGTGCTTGTAATGGGATTAATGTTTAAATTTTATTTTTGTATTAAAATTAGCATAGCAGAGCAATTCCAGTTTTTTCATGTTTTAAGTTTTCTACTTAGAAATTGGAGACTAATGATTTGCTGAAAGTAGTTAATAATTTACAACTAAATGAGATCTTCATTTCTTATTTTTTTTAAAAAGAAAGATGTAACGTGTCATAAAATAATTTATTTTTTGTGGGCTGGTTATATATAAGCACAGCCACCTAGACATCAATGATATTATCATTCCTTTTTATAAATGAGGAAGCAGAAATTCTGAGATTGTTAAGTGAAAATTGAAGGTCAGTTGCTAATGGGACTAGCAATATATAACTCAGTCTTTTATTTGTGAATCTATTCTTTCTTGTGTAGTACCATGCCTGGCACATAGTAGGTGGTATATACCAATTAGTCTTAGAGTAATTCCATATATGAAACAACTCATTTAATAGCTAGTTTCAAATCTCGTGAACCTAGGCATTGATAAAGATTATAATAGTGGGAAAAGCTGCTTGAGTGAAAAACCACCGACCTGCAGTTTGAGCAGAAGTGAAATGGTGGGAATTAACTGTCTGCAACTCACTTTTAATCAGTTAGGAGTAGTTTGCACAGAGTAGTTTGCAGTCATTTTGAAGAACAGTGAGAGGTTTGTGTTTTCACTCCTGGAACAGGCGGTCTCCACTGGGTCATCACATCCCCAGTTTATTATTCACCTGTGCAGATCTGTATACATTTGATCTTGATAGACACCTGAGCTGATGCATTGAATTCTCAAGTGAGACGATATATCTCCTTTTATAGCTGGTCATTTGGTCACACAGGATGTTAAAGAAGAAGAGTGAGGAATTTATCTAAGGACTTCTTCCCATTTTCTGTCCCGTAATGGTCAAAGTTTGTCCTTTGGAGCCTTTATTCTTCTACACATTCATTTTATTTTGCTATGAACTACATGTTTATATCCACTCAGACCATAAATGTTGAAACTCTGATCCATCATGTGATGATATTTGGAGATGGTACCTGTGGGAGGTGATTAGTTAGATCACAAGAGCGGCCCTCTCCTGACGTGATTAGTGGCTTTATAAGAAGAGATTGGGGAGTGTTTAGGTTGTTTCCTCCCTTTCCTGTCTACCATGTCAGGATACAATGAGAATGTGGCCATCAGAAAACAAGGAAGAGTGCCCTCACCAAACGCTGGATCTGCTGGTTCTCAGTCTTGGACTTCGCAGCCTCTAGAACTATAAGAAATAAATGCTTGTTTTTTAAACCGTCCAGTCTATTTGTTATAACAGTTCAAACTGATCAAGACATGCAGTATCTGGCCTCTTCAGATAGCTGCTTGCAAGCCACAACCTCTATAGGGCCAGTCAAGCAAGTGTACAAGGAGAGCCAGTGGGACTGACTAAATCAGGAAGCCACCTATATTATATCTAATATAGTTACAGGAATTATATCTTGTTTATATTCTAATAGTCTATTAATTTTTCTGTTTATCTCATTTCCATCAATCTTATTGAATACATTAATTAATAGTGTATTCATTATTTCACATGAAAGATATTGTGCTAAAAAGTTTAGGTACATTATTTCATTTGATTTTCAAAGCAGACTTGTAAGTTCCATTATTATTCTTATTTCAGATTAGAAAATTTAGTTACAGTTGGTAAGCAGTAGGATTAGGATTCAAATTTAAACATAATAATCATAATCTTAAACCTAACTCTAACCATTTTCTCACCATTGAAAGAATCTGATGGATAATTGGTGCTCACTAAATATTTGTTCATTGAAAACTTATGTGCCAGTATTGTATGTACTAGGAAGACATCAGGGTTCAAAATAGATAATTTTCCCAGTCTTTGTGGAATTTCAAAGCGAAGAATACCATTTAGTTTAGTTCAAAGGAAAGAATTACATTCAGAATTACATTCTCTTTTCTGGTTGTCTTTATCAGTAACTTACGTAATGCTGTCCTACTCCTTGCTTTCTCTTCTACGGTCTCCCATACATAACAGAGAATATCTTCAAGTTGTGGACTTTATAATGTCTTTTATCTCTATATTCTCAGTGACTAGCATAGTACTGGATATACAGTAGACTCTCAGTAATGCTTGTATAATAAATAGATGGATTTCACTATTCCTTGTCACCTTTGCTCAGTTTCATTTCTACTGTTTTCTGATAGATGAAGTGAAGAGTGTATGCTAAGTTGAATACAGATTGGAAATGTCACTGAAAATTTATGTAGGATTTTGAAAATAGATGCATTTGGTGATTTGATGACATTTACAACATTTTAAAAATAAGAAATAGTTTTCAAAAATAAGAAACCATGTGTACCATGATGTCATTTAAAAAATTCTTTTCATTGCTCACTCTTGTCTAAGAGGAGGATCTGCCAATATCTGTGCTTAATCGTTTACTTAATAAATACTTTATTAATTTATGGACTCTGCCTAATAAAATTCATCGTTCAAACTGCTCCCTGTAAAACATGTCTCTGATCATATCAGTTATCTCCTCTGTAAAGTTTTTAAGGATTTTATGTTTTATTCCACTTATTATCTGATTGCAGACAATCTTTTTCATCCCAATTGGCCACTGGAATACTCCACTTTCTCCTGCTCTGACTACACACAGCTAGTCGTCATGTCGTCAAGAAGCATCCAATTTTTACACATGTAATGCGCTTCTCTGTCTTTTCTCCAGCTGTCAAAATGTACTACTCATCCTTCAAGATACAGCACAAATGCCAGCTACTCCCTAAAGCCTTCTCCTAATCTCTTCTTCCAGTCAAAATCACTAGTTCCTTCCTGGTCTTGCTCATTCTTCTGTGAACACTTGCTTATCTCAGGCCTGTCCTGTCATGAGTTGGACATTGTTTCCCATTGCACAGATGAACATCTTACAAGAAGGATCTTGTTTCACGTAACTGAATTATTAGCACACAATAAATATGTTTATCCTGCAATAAGTATGTTGGGTATTTTTGTCGAATAATTGCCCTGATTGAGGAACATAAAATACTCACTTTAAAGTCTCGAGTGGTTAACCTTCATTTGGCAGCCTTAATATATGAATAATTTTGTATATTTTGGTTATTTTTCACTTAAGAAAGAAAGTTTCTGTGAGACACATGCAGTCTTTTTAAAGACTGAGTTGGAGAGCTTTTTTATTTATTTATTTATTTATTTATTTTTATTATACTTTAAGTTCTAGGGTATATGTGCACAACGTGCAGGTTTATTACATATGTATACATGTGCCATATTGGTGTGCTGCACCCATTAACTCGTCATTTACATTAGGTATATTTCCTAATGCTATCCCTCCCCCCTTCCCCCACCCCACGACAGGCCCCAGTGTGTGATGTTCCCCTTCCTGTGTCCAAGTGTTCTCATTGTTCAATTCCCACCTATGAGTGAGAACATGCGGTGTTTGGTTTTTTGTCCTTGTGATAGTTTGCTGAGAATGATGGTTTCCAGCTTCATCCATGTCCCTACAAGGGACACGAACTCATCCTTTTTTATGGCTGTATAGTATTCCATGGTGTATATGTGCCATATTTTCTTAATCCAGTCTATCACTGATGGACATTTGGGTTGGTTCCAAGTCTGCTATTGTGAATAGTGCTGCAATAAACATACATGTGCATGTGTCTATAGCAGCATGATTTATAATCCTTTGGGTACATACCCAATAATGGGATGGCTGGGTCAAATGGTATTTCTAGTTCTAGATCCTTGGGGAATCGCCACTCTGTCTTCCACAATGGTTGAACTAGTTTACAGTCCCACCAACAGTGTAAAAGTGTTCCTATTTCTCCACATCCTCTCTAGCACCTGTTGTTTCCTGACTTTTTAATGATCGCCATTGTAACTGGTGTGAGCTGGTATCTCATTTTGGTTTTGATTTGCATTTCTCTGATGGCCAGTGATGATGAGCATTTTTTCATGTGTCTTTTGGCTGCATAAATGTCTTCTTTTGAGAAGTATCTGTTCATATCCTTCGCCCACTTCTTGATGGGGTTGTTTTTTTCTTGTAAATTTGTTTGAGTTCTTTGTAGATTCTGGATATTAGCCCTTTGTCAGATGAGTAGATTGCAAAAATTTTCTCCCATTCTGTAGGTTGTCTGTTCACTTCAATGGTAGTTTCTTTTGCTGTGCAGAAGCTCTTTAGTTTAATTAGATCCCATTTGTCGATTTCGGCTTCTGTTGCCATTGCTTTTGGTGTTTTAGACATGAAGTCCTTGCCCCTGCCTATGTCCTGAATGGTATTGCCTAGGTTTTCTTCTAGGGTTTTTATGGTTTTAGGTCTAACATTTAAGTCTTTAATCCATTTTGAATTAATTTTTGTATAAGTGTAAGGAAGGGATCCAGTTTCAGCTTTCTACAAGGCTGCACTAACCAAAGCAGCATGGTACTGGTACCAAAACAGAGATATAGACCAATGGAACAGAACAGAGCCCTCAGAAATAATACTACACATCTACAACCATCTGATCTTTGACGACCCTGACAAAAACAAGAAATGGGGAAAGGATTCCCTATTTAATAAATGGTGCTGGAAAGTTGGAGAGCTTTTTTACCCTTCCAAAAATTTTCAACTCTCCACTCCTTTAACCCTATTTTCCCCCTTTTGAGCTATTAAAAATTTCTCTTGAAGTTTTACTTCTGTGCTTTTTCTTGCTTCTAATCCAAGCCTCCCATAGGAAGCAAATGACAAAATAAAATCTTAAAAATCAGCTATTAAGAAAGGAGTTTTCCTCGTGTGTTTCTTGGGTTTCTGGCCTGCTCAGAAGCACTTGAGAATGGATTCTATACTCAATACATTTCCAGGTAAGGGATGATCCATCTCCGCTGAGATGTCTCCTGTGTTCACAGTCCTTTCTGTAATTAGAGCTTCAGTACTGATCTGGGATGAACCAACTGCCTTCCAGGAGAGCAAAGATTTTAGTTTGTTTCATTTTGTTTTCATACCTATCGCCTAGTAGTAACTCCCTGCCGCCCCTCCGTCCCACCCTGGGTAGTCCAGTCAACTTTATTTTCTTCCAGACTTTCCATAACTCACATATTCAAATCAATTTGGAGTGTGTGATATGTGTTAGTGTATTTATATTTGTATTTTTCTATTCCAGGAAAAAAATGGAAAGCATTCTTAAACACTTTTGGAACTTGGGAAAAATCGTAATGTTGCTAATAGCTAATATGTGTTTTAAAATCTAAGCAAGTGTAATAAGTAAAAGAACATTGATAAAGTAAAAAGTATACTATAGTGTTGCCACTTCAAGGTGGAGAAAAGTTCCAGCCACCATTTATTGAATATTGCGGGTAATGCTCCTGCTGTTTCATTGATTCCTTACAATCTATGAGGTTCCCCCGAGCCCCCAATTAACATGTTAAAAAAATTAGGAAAAAGGAGATTAAGGGATTTATTCAGAGTCACATTTGGTGTGTAACAGAGTTAGGATTTGAACGTGGACTATTTCTAGAAATAAAGCTAATATCAGCTACCCCTGATTCTCTTAAATATAAGATTAAATTAATTAAATATAATTATAAGGCTAAATATAATTATAAAATTAATTACCTTAAAATAAGCCGGGCGTGGTGGTGGGTGCCTGTAGTCCCAGCTGCTCGGGAGGCTGAGGCAGGAGAATGGCGTGAACCTGGGAGGCGGAGCTTGTAGTGAGCCGAGATCGCGGCACTGCACTCCAGCCTGGGCAACAGAGTGAGAGTCCGTCTCAAAAAAAAAAAAAAAAAAAAGATTAATTACCTTAAGAGTAAAACAACATAAATAACTTTCTTTAAAAGTGAAATATGACTTTTAATTTGAGATTTAACTTGAAATCTACCTTTTGTGATTAATGATGTGTGATGTCCTTATTGCTTATTACCTTCTTGATCTTGGACAATTTATGTCTTTATGTTTGCCTCTGTCTCTTCCTATGTAACAGAGGATTTAAAACATTGATATAGACGTCACATCTGATAATTTTTATAACAGTTCTTTATATCTATACAAAATGCTAGTTCCTGTAGTAGTTTCATTTTATGTTCTTGGTTACCAGAAATTTGACCTAGTTTTTAAATATCCTGTAAATCCATAGCAAAATATTAGGAGAGATGACTGTAGTAGGAGAGGGCACAGGCATGATGAGCTTGCTGTATCCTCAGGCATTTTCCTTTTTGAGCCACAATGATTTCAAAGTACAATGTGTATTTCTGTATCAGAAGCTGTAGGGCTGACCTTGAGGGAAGTCAAGATACTTAGTTAAAGTAATATAATGCTATAATCGTGGTTCCATGGAAATTTTACTAAATGGGACGTTTGAAAATACTTTAAGAAACTTCCTAAAAATGATTATTTTTTAAACTTAAACTTTACATAAATCTAAAAATTTATCATAAGGTATGATACCAACATTGAAAGTAAAATTACTACCACATTTGTTTATCCTCCCAACGTTATACCTTTTTGGAAAATCAGTAGTTTTCCTTGTATTATGAGGGTGTATGTGTGTGTATATTTTTTACCCTAAGTTCAGTTTTTGTTTTGTTGATTGTTCCACACTGATCATTTTATTGCCTGTTATTACTTACATAACTTAATATGGATTAGCATTTCCATATTCCAAGAAGTATAGATGACTGATATTGGGAAGAGGTTAAAAAAACACACACACAAAGAACCTTTTCTCATATGATTTAAAGAGTTTGCATATGGTATTCCATCAGGCCTGCATATCTAGTTTGTTCGTCTAGGTAAGTATTTTAAGTATTTTGAAACAGTTGCCACTGTTTAAATTAGGAAGAGTTCATAGAAAAATCTGTATTTTTTTATGTTCTTGAATAATTACATGATTGGACAAACTATGCTACGCAGCAATGAGGTGTAACTATTAAATAGAGGCTGTGCTTTTAGATGAGGCTTGTACTCTCCATCTCAACAGTTTCTTTCTGCCTTGTTTTCCTTAATTATGTTATCATCAGCTTTGCAATTTTGTGTTTCTTGTGTGGGGTCAGCTCCTCATAATTGTTACACCTGCCTGGCCTGGCTCCTTGGGGTGGTTCAGTTTATGTCCCCTTGAATAACACTATCTGTGAGACTGGGATTATTTCGGGCAAGATTCCATATCAGCACATTTTGCCCTACCTCATTTTTTTTGATGGTTGTCATATAATTTATTATTTGGATATTCCACAGTTATTCACCTAGTTTCCCATTGTTGCAAAAGTGGGTTATTTTCCATGGTTTTGTAGTATAAATAGTGCCATAAAGAATAAATATTATTATATACATAGATGTCTTTGCATCTTTGTGTGATGTATATCCAAAGAACAAATTTCTAAAAATAGAGTTACTTGAAGAGTGTGATTTTGAAATTTTCATAGCTGTTGCCAAATTGTTTTCTAATTTATATTTCAACCAAGAGCATTTAAAAATGTCTTTTCTCCTGAACCATATCCCATCCATATAGACTATCATATGTTTCTGGGTCTTTTAGGTGGAAAATTGAATTTTGAAGTTTAGGTTTGCACTTCTTTAGTTATATATGAGTTTGATCATTGTTTCCAATGTTTATTGGCCACTTGTATTTCATTTTCCATGATCTCTTGGACTTACTTATTTTTAAAATATTAAAGTTTATAAATTTGATTTCTCTGGAAGTTATTTTGGTTTTAGAGATCTACTTTTTTATGACAAACTTATAGATTTCAATATTTTATTGAATAAGCCATCCTTTCCTTATGGTTTTGAAATGCCCTTTCATCACATACTGAATTTTTGCTTCTGCTTAATACTATTTCAGAAACTCAGTTTTTCTCCATAGATCTATTTCAAATGCTTTCAGTTCCTCAAATTTTATAAACCTAGTTTTACATACTCAGTAAAATTCCTATGAATATTATATAAAATTATGTTACTGTTTTAATAATGTGAAAAATTATAGTTTTAGGAAAACTGTACTTCATTTTTTAAAATGGTAGTTATTTGTTATACGTGATTAGAACAATGCAACAGAGAAAGTAAAAAGAAACCTCACCAAAATAATCCCACTGATATTAAGGGTATATCATTCTTGATATTTTTATATGCCTATCTTTAGATAGCAGGTTAAAGAAAATGCTTGATAGAAATACTATAATGAGACATGAGAAAATAAATGTCTGTTAACTTTAAACAATGAAACTAAAGTGAAATGGAAAGAAGAAATTATTGGAATTCGTATACAAATTTCTTTACCTTAAATAGTTATTTCTTAAATGCTCATCTAAGATTAATAAAGAAATTAAAAAGTATAATGATGACAACCTTAAATTTTACTCTGTGTTGAGTGACTCTCTGCTATAAAATTTCATCCCCCTTTCACTCATGCCTTTTTTTAATATAATATTTTTACTTTGTCAGTTGAGATCCTTTTTTCATGATCACATTCATACAGTTCCACAGTTGTCTAGCCAAGGTTCTATATTTAAGGAGTCAGTTCTTAGACACACTCCTACAATAACTGTTCAGTCTTGTATGTGTTTGTTTTTAATTTTTAATTGCCATTTAGAAAAATGGAAAGTAGCTTATTTTTCTTCTAGAATGGTTCATTAGTGTCATTGACTAAAACTCAATTTTAAATTTGACAATATTTAAAAAAATCCCTTAGATATGAATAGAAACTTGTCTCCTAGGATATTCCTAGATTACTTTTCCTTCTTAGAATTGTGTGGAGTTGGCTTTATCTTTTGGTTTTTAATTAATGTTGCCTTTTTCTGCCTGGTTGTCTATAGACTCATTTCTTTTATCTTTTGAATTTCAGTTGCTTAAATTGGGATACATTTTGTGTGTGTTTGTTTCCCAAACCTTTCTTAAAACATTGTATGCTCTTTTTAATATGTGGATTTAATTCTTTAGGATAATTTTCCAGTTTTATATCTTCCATATTCATTTTATTTGGTTTTATTTTTCAGTCAGCAGCTATATCCATATTTGGATCATTTTTTTTTGTCTATGTTGGGTATCTCTTAGGTTCTTTTTAATATATTCAAATTCATTGTTTTTCTTTAATTATTTCAATTCTCAATTATTTATTCATTTAATAATTTGCTATTTTTGCTATACTTATGTACTTTTTTTTGTTGAGTCTAACTCATCATTATCTATTGATATACTTTATTCCTCCATTTATTTCCTTAAGTCTGCAGTCTTTTACTTTTCATTCTGTTGTCATATAATCTTTCAGCTCTTATTCTTTTGAGTTTATTTTTAATTAAGTTGTATAATGTGAAGTATTTGTAAAAAGGTCCATTTTCTATGTAGCTAAGTTGAGATGTGGTTCATTATTCTGCATCTCAAATTTTGTATATTCCCTGGACATCCCGTGCCTCGATTCCTGCCATCTTTCTGGGAAAGATTCCTTACCCCTGAGGGTATGGGGAGGTGTAGAGAAGCTTATTGGCATTGCCTAGTTCATTGTATAGTTCTGGAACCTTCACTTCTGACATAGAGCACCTGGCACATGGTTTACTTCTCCAGTTTTACCAAGTTTTTCCTAGTTTGTTTCTTACTGGATATAGGGGATACTAATGAAAATAGGGTAGTACTTTTTGGTGTACCAGTACCTGATCCAGGGGAACTGGGAGAGGGTCAGGAGCAGGCATGTGCTGTTCTTTGCCCTGCTTAGGAATCTGTGATTTCTTCTTGTGGCCACTGGCTTTTGTGCTTTGATATGGTGTATGTTCTTGACATGCTTAGTTGCTTTAGGGAAGGAAAAGGCTGCAGGCCAAATCTGGCCCACTACCTGTTTTTTGTAAATAAAGTGTTATTGGAACACAGCCACACCCACTCATTAACTTTTTGTCCATGGCCCCTTTCGTACTTCAGAGACACCCTCGAGTAGCTGTGACAGAGACCATATGGCTGACAAAGCCTAAAATATTTGCCGTCTGCCCCTTTACAGGAAAAGTTTGCCAAACCCTGCAGTAGGCTAATTTTATTTTTCTTGCTGAATTTTGACTGTGTTATTTCATTTTCTTAGGAATCAGAGGAGAGAGATGTAGAGATTCTGTTCCATTACACTGTCTTGACATGGAAGTTGCTATAATGCTAGTTTTTAAAAAAATTCATGAAATAGTATAACCATCATATTTCCTCTCTCATACCAGTGCTTGAAGTTACAAAAAATGCTAGTTAGATTAGCTCAGTTTATTTTAAATAAGAATGATTTTATCCTACCAGGTAGCCTCTACTAATAAATGAAATTATTTATATTATTCTTCTTTAATAATGTCTTTTTTTCCCTGAATAAGACTAAAGCAGTTACTTAATTACAGTAGCTTTTCTAGAAGACTATTTAATTTTCTAACTCATTTTCTTTCATACTTCTTCAAAGGTATAAGCAGTTTAGCCAAATTTTGAAGAACATTGGAGAAAATGAAGGTGGTATTGATAAGTTTTCCAGAGGCTATGAATCATTTGGCGTCCACAGATGTGCTGATGGTGGTTTATACTGCAAAGAATGGGCCCCGGGAGCAGAAGGAGTTTTTCTTACTGGAGATTTTAGTAAGTACTTGAAAGCATTGAACTAAATAGTAATATCTTATTAACTATTTAATACATATATTTCTTATATTTCATGTATTTAACCATATGAACTTTAATGATTACAAATAAATATCAGACTTTTCAGATAGAGCCTTAGAATTTATTAAGCTCTTTGTATGGTGCAGCTGTTTCTGTTATAATGTGATATGTGTATTCTTGAAAGACTTTATGTTCTGTAAAATCATGTACTAGAAATAACAAGGTTTATGAGAAAAATGCTATTAGGAAGACAACTCCAAATTTACTTAACTTTGTTAGCAAGCTCTGACAAAACCAATAGCAATCCAGGTAAAAATATTGGCATAAAGCTCCGCTAGCATTCACACCTGGCTGGCTGGCATCATAGTTCTTGGATCCTCTGTATAGCCTTATACTCTTTTCGGAGTCTTCAGTAAAAGTAGATATCTAATCTGGGGTGTAACCTCCATCACTCATTTCTTTTTTTCCTTTACCTTGTTTTAGAACACAGTGGGAAATATCTTGTCAGCATTGTCATTTGCACTGTTAACTCCACTAGACAGAGTTAACGCTATGGAAAGCAAAGTCAGGTTTCTAGCTTAGAGTCTGGTGGGAGGAAGGACTGTAATGTAAATAACTGTAATACAATCTACTAAGTTTTATTCTTGAAGGGTAAATACATTACTAGAATGATGACAAGGATGAAAGTTCAGTTTTGAAAGTGGAATAACTGGAAAAAATAGGCCTTGGTAAAGGTTCTTGATACAAGGAAAAGGAATATCAAAATGATCATAATCCTTTAATACCATAGAATGGTATAATATTTAAAATTTGATTTCACTGGGCTCAAAAGTCTACATGCTGTGTTATTCAATTTTTATGACGTTTTAGAAACAGCAAAACTGTGGGGACAGATAACAGATCATTGTTGTCAGGGGTTGGGGTGGTGGGTAAAGGTTGATTACAGAGGGACGTGAGGGAATTTTTGGGGTGGTGAAAATGTTTTATATCCTGATTGTGGTGCTGGTTACCTGATTGTATGAATTTATCAACATTTATAGAACTGTACATGTATAAAGAACAAATTTTAATGCAATGTAAATTATTCTTCAAGGAACCTGACTTAACAGAACTTTGGGTTTTATATTAATATGCATTGTCTAAGACAGCACTGTCCAACAGAAATAAAATGCAAGCCACTTACGTAATTCAGAAATTTTAGTAACAATATTAAAAAGGTGAAAGGAGAACAGTAGAGTAAAATTTAATAATAAATTATATTTACCTAGTATATAAAATATTATCATTTTAATATTTAATCAATGTAAATTTTATTGATGAGAATTTCATTCTTTTCTTGTACCACATCTTTGAAATCTGGGTACAGCAAGTCTTAATTAAGATGGTAAGTTTTCATTGCAAATACAGTAATCCTTCGGTGTCAATGGGGAACTTGTTCTACAACTTCTCGTGGATACCAAAATCCAAGGATGCTTAAGTCTCTTGTATAAAATGATGTAGTATTTGCATATAACCTAGGCACATCTTCCCTTATACTTTCAATCATGTCTGGATTATTTACAATACCCAATACAATGTAAATGCTGTATAAATATTTGTTATACTGTATTGTTTATGGAATAATGACCAGAAAAAATAGACTGTTTAAGTGTTCAGTACAGATGCAACCATCCACTTTTCTTTTCCAAATATTTTCAATCTAAGATTGGTTGAATCAGTAGATGTGCAACTTGAGGGCAGACTGCACTTAATTTAAATTTAAGTTTAATAAAATTTTCAGTTTAAAAGTATGTTCATATACCCAGTTTTTTCCAAACAAAATTAAGAGGTTTCCAGTAACTGACTTGAATAACACTTTTAAAATTTAAATTAATAACTTAAGATAAAATAAAATATAAAATTCAGTTTCTAAGTTGCACTAGCCTCAGTTCAAGTGCTCTATCGCCTCTTGTAGCTACTGGCTTCTTTACTGGAAAGTACAGGTCTAAGGACTGAAAATAATTCATGGTGTAGTCCCAAAAATTAGATGTGTCTCGAGAGTTGTTAGAAAATTTCATGGACACTTTTGTAAAAGACCACGAGATCTGATAATTCAGATTAGCTTGGCCTGATGGTAATTATTAAATGTATTTTGAGGATAAGAGACTACTCACTTAAGTCATGGTTGTTATTAATAATTTTTTCTTTTACATAAACACAATATTTCCCCATCTTCTCTAAGTGACTGCCTTGACTTTTTGTTACTAGACCATTTAGAAATCTGCCTATAATCAAGGCATTCTATTTCACTAGTTTTCTTTTTTAAAATTCCATGCAGAGGTTGAGGATATTGAGAATGTTTAAGTTAAATTTTTATGTAAAGATACCCAACTACTATAAGAACCACCATTAATATCTGATAGTTGCATTTGGTTCCCCCACCCCCATATTTATGATGAAATCCACTTAATAGTTTCTATAAACATAAAAATATAGGAAAGGGACTATATGAAAACTAGATTTGTGAACTGTCATAATGACTATTGCTCATTTATTAAAAGTTGCGCTGTGTGTGTTTGTAGAATTGCATTTAAAAATTTTATGTTCTTGGACTTAATGCTTAACTGTTAAAAGTACAGTAATTAAAAAAATGTTTTGTAAACAGGAAACTAAAATTACCTGGCCCATATTTTATTGTAAAAATGTCCTCTGTTAACTTTTTATCCCAATTTACATTGACTTTTAAAATTCCACTCTTTATAAAGATGTATTGCATAATTTCAAATTTCTCCATATCCTTGTGATAACATTCATTTAATGATTCTCAATCAACAAATATTTAGTAACTAAGGGCATGAAAAGCAGCAGATGTAATCGGTGGGCCTTTATTTTTATTGAAGAGATAAGAAAAGACTACAGTAAATGAAATTGTGACAGAAAATAGTTAAGGACAGGCAGTATATTGGGAAACTTAAATGTCTAATTTATTTTCTTTTTTTAGAAGAAAGGATGTCTTTTTTATGTCCAAAGTTATAGGATCTCAAAGTCTCTTTGTGAATGGGATCTCAACTTTTTTTCACTAATGGGCTTTGACTTTCAAAAACAAACAATTTGAAAATTGAGAGTGGAGCCTGAATTCTGAGCCAATGATGCATTTAGAAGGTTTCTTTGTAAAAAAAGATATACACGTGGGTCAGTATGACTTTAGTGAACACAGAATTTTTATTGTGATGACAACCTACGTGAAAATATACTCTTAGATAACTGAACTAACCATGCCTTAACACACACACACACACACACACACACACACACACACACACACACACACACACACACACTCTCTCTCTCTCTCTCTCTCCAGGGATTCTGTATTTTATTTTTCCCTTATTAACATAAAATCCGTTTTTTCCTAATAATAGTTGAGCAAAAAGAAAGATTTTTTTTCTTTTTTTTTTTTGTGCCTACTGACCTGAGACTATTTTAGTTACAGGTACTTAGAATAATCAAATATAAATGCTATTTAAGAAAGAAATTGCCTGCTGGGTTCAGTGGCTAACACCTATAATCTGTAATCCTAGCACTTTGGGATGCTGAGGTGGGAGGATCATTCAGGTGTTTGAGACCATCTTGGGCAACAGAGATAGACCCTATCTTTACCAGAAAATAAATAGATAAATACAAATAAAAAATAAATAAATCATCATGAATTGGTGTGTAAAATAAAAAATGATGGGATTTAGAGTTTGAAAACACAGTTGAGCTCTCTAAACAATGGTTCTTCCTCTGGCTTGTTGGGGATAAATGTGATCATAATTGTTTTAACTGCCTGACTGGTTTGCTCTAGGTACTAACTAGATTGTGAATGTGAGAAATTTTGTACCTTAATCAGTGCTACAGAAATGTTAATTGGCAGTATTAAAAAAAAAACCCTCTTATTTGCAAAGGTCTTTTTATTTATTTCAGAAAATTACTGTTAATTTCAAAAGGCATTTGAACCTTGCAAAAGTAAAATAGTCTGTTTTGCCAAAACTAAGGCAGATTTGCCATCCACATTTTAAAAAACTAGTAGGAAAACAGCTTCACTTTAAATATAGTACTTATATTTTTCTTTATTTGAGAGAAAATAAAACAATCATTTCTTTTTCGTCCAGTCGTTTTTAAACAACTAGTTTTTTTAGCTAACAGCTGCCGCAGCAACCTAGAAGGATGGTGTATATATATTGACATTCATCAGGATTGGACTCTTACCACTGAAAAAGTCTTTCTGGTTAAACTAGAAACTAGTTTAAAGGGCTGAGATGAATTTCTAAAACTTTGAATCATCTGCAATACAGCAAAGACTCATTCTTTAGAAAATTAGATGTGATTTAAAATACACTTGGAGTTTTGGTTCTCAATCATGTTTATTGCAGGTTGCTAAATAATTGAAAATAACTAGCTGCTTTCCAGTATCTAGATGATAATAAGAGAGAAAGGCAGTAAACTACATATGTCAATATAAAATAATTGGGTTCTTATTTGCTATAACGGAAAGCATTTCATTTAAAATTACTAAGTCTGGGAGGTAGGCACCTTTCAAATAACCTAAATGTCTATCACTGATAGACTGAAAGAAAGGAAAAAAGAAACAAACCTTGATTTTTATGCCTATAGAAAAAGGAACCACTGATATTTTTGCAGAGTGGGAAAGATAGCAAGAAGAAGTTTTTAACTGTTTTTTTGGGCCAGTTTTGTCTATAATTTTTTTTTCAGTTATATAAGTTTTCAGTGTCATAAAAGCCTTCATATTTCTTAATCCCACGTGCTCTGAAACCGTGCTACTCAACATGTGCTCTGTGGACCAGTGGGTTCTGTGAACTGTAATCTGTTTTCAGTGATATTGTCAGAAATTGGGAATAAGCATTTAGGAATGTTGATAGCAATTTGGCAGGGTCATTTTATTTCTGTAGAATCTAATAATTACAATACAAAAACTTGGGCTTGAGTTTTAAATATTTTTTCTTTCAGTTTTTGAATAATTAATTTTATTTACATAATTATTGGTCTATAGTGAAATTAAAGTTTTTTAAGAAGGGTAATTGGTACATAACCATAGTCTGAGAAACACTGATACGAAAATTAGCGATCATTTTTTACTGGTTGGAAGCCGTTTCTGGTTCGGGGTATAATTCTGATACCAGCTTCTTTTGGATTCTGTTTCTTCATCTAATCTTTTTTGTCTCTATTAGTCAGCTTTCACTGTGGCATGACATTTTACAAACAACTCCAACATTTTGATGGCTTACAACAACAAAGGCCTCTTTCTTGTTCATTTTCGCTGTAGTGGTCAGCTGTGGCTCTCCCGCAACTGTCAAATTCACTCCAGAATACAGGTTAATGGAGTAACCCCAATATGGGGAGCCACTGATCACATGAGAGAGAGAAAGAGCAATGAAGAAACTCTAGGATGGCTCTAAAAACTTCAGCTTGTAAGTAACATATGTGATTTGCACTTACATTTCATTAGCCAAATAACATGGCCAAGCCTTATGTCAATGAGGCATGAAGGCCAAATCATCTTTTATGGAGGCTTGTGATGGTTAATACTGAGTGTCAACTGGATTGGATTGAGGGATACAAAGTTTTAATCCTGGGTGTGTCTGTGTGGGTGTTGCCAAAAGAGATTAACATTTGAGTCAGTGGACTGGGGAAGGCAGATCCACCCTTAATCTGGTGGGCGCAATATAATCAGCTGCCAGTGAATATAAAGCAGGAGAACAATTTGAAAAAGATAAGGGCCTAGTTTCCCAGCCTACATCTTTCTCCCATGCTGGATGCTTAAAGCCCTTGAACGTCAGACTCCAAATTCTTCAGTTTTGGGACTTGGAGTGGCTCTCCTTGCTCCTCAGCTTGCAGACGGCCTATTGTGGAACCTTGCCATTGCGTAAGTTAATTCTTAATAAACTCCCCTTTATATATCTATCCTATTAGTTCTGTCCCTCTAAGAGAACCCTGACTAATATAAGGCTCATGAAAAATTGGGAACAATAACGTATGACCCATCTTTGTGGTATACAGTGTAAACTTTCCATATTTTTTGATATTCTAGATATCTTACAGTTTTTGTGGGAAGAGAATTGTTTTGGCAGGGTAGTGATCCAGACAGATTGTTGAGAAGATTTCTTGACTTCTGAACTCAGAGAGACCTTCAAGGAGTCGTTTGTTCAATAGACATTTCAACTCCCTCTGGGTTCTCTGTTAATGCATTTTTGCTATGTGGCTTCCCTTCAATTAAGTTTATTGGAAATTTTTCCTAGAAAGCAGGTTTTTGGAGGCAGCCTTGGGATTCTAGAAACTGTTTATTTTGGCAAAGTGATAGCGAACTACAAGGCACAAGGCTTTAGGTTTGTTAACCAAACCAGTACCTATGCTGAGAAGTGACCTCTTTGACGTATGTGAACCTAAAGTAAGCATTCAGCAAACAGTGTTTTGTAGAAAGTTTTGCAGTACTTCCTTTGGCTTTCCAACCTGATTTCGTTGCTCTCACCACCTTAGTTTATTTTACCTAATGGGTTGTTCACTTTCAATGGAGTATATGTACAATGGAGGTTTACTTAACCAATCTCTGTTTACTAGACATAGTGAACTTACTTTTGCTTAACAGATTTCATTGTAAATGCCGCTGACTGATTCCCACAGAATACTGAGCACAGGTAGTAGACTATAGTCTACTACAGGTATACAGTTCTGCTTCTACCAGTTATACTGTGTGTCAGTTTCCTCCCCCAATCCCATCCATGCTACTTTTTCCCATTATAATTCTATATCATAATTTTATATAAAGTGATGATCTATGACTATGACAGGAAAGAAAGTTATTGAATATTGGGAAAATCTCAGTAAGGACAAGTTTTAAAAAGTATTTTGAATTAAGTATGAACTTAAAAAGAAAAGATATAAACCTAATTGACTTTTGCATGTAGATTATTTTACATAAACCTTTTAGCTTTCATTCATTTTTGTCCAGAGGGAGTTGGGAATTATAAACGTTGCATTGGAGATGTATGTTCATATAAGACAGATGCTACAAAATCCTTATCAGAGGGCCCAAACTTTAGTTTTATGTGACAAGATGGGCGAATGTATATTTCTATTTAGGTTTTAAGTTAAAATAACATGTTTACTGTTTTGTGTGTGTGTGTACTTTATTACTCCCTCTTTTAACTAATATTTTCAACATACATACCAACTTTTGGCCCCAATTGTGCTGGATCATGGAGCTTTGCTATAATGCCTAATGGGATTATTTTTACTGAAAAGCATCTTTACCTTCTGGGATTTTAGGAGATTGCTGTTAGAGACCTTGTCGTGTTGTAAGATATATATATATATATACACATATATATATATAAAACTAATATATATATAAAATTATATATATAATATATAACACCTAATATATTATACCTAATAGATATCATACCTAATATAATATATAATACCTAAAATGTAATAGATATTTTATATATTAGGTTTTTATCCATGGTTCATGGCTCACAATTCCCATGTCCCTTGTTACAGTCTTTCGTTAAAATGCTGCGTGTGTTAGACTTTAAGGGTAGGCCTCAGGAAACAGAATCTTTCTTCCTTCTTCCTTCCACCTGCTCCAAAGCAGGACTCTAATCTTTCCCCACCTTTCTGATTGTGGTTGTTAAGACTCTACCCTGAGAGGGTCCTGCCTCATACCCTGGGGGAAGGCATGCTTCCACAAAAACCCAAGAGAACTGGGTTCCAAGAGCTTCCTGATAGCTGAACACATTGGGGTGGCTTGCCCAGAGAGGGCATAGAAGTTGTCTGCCCTGGGCCAGGCGCAGTGGCTCACGCCTGTAATCCCAGCACTTTGCGAGGCCAAGGCCAGCGGATCACGAGGTCAGGAGATTGAGACCATCCTGGCTAACACGGTGAAATCCTGTCTCCACTAAAAATACAAAAAAATTAGCTGGGCATGGTGGCAGGTGCCTGTAGGCCCAGCTACTGGGGAGGTTGAGGCAGGAGAATCGCTTGAACCTGGGAGACGGAGGTTGCAGTGAGCCGAGATCACACCCCTGCACTCCAGCCTGGATGACAGAGCGAGACTCCGCCTCAAAAAAAAAAAAAAAAGATGTTGTCTGCCCTTTCTCCCATACCTTACCCTATGCGTGTCTTTGTCTGTATCCTTTGCAATATCCTTTATACAAAACTGGTAAACGTAAGTAAGTGCTTTCCTGAATTCTGTGAGCCACTCCAGCAAACTAATTGAACCCAAAGAGGGGACCATGGGAATCCCAACTTGAAGTTCCGGAGGCCCAGACTTGTGACTGCTGTTTACTGGTGTGGGGGGCAGTCTTGGGGACTGAGCCCCCAACCTGTGGGATCTGACACTGTCTCCTGGTAGATTGTGTCAGGATTGAATTGGAGGACACCCAGTTGGTGTCTGCTGCTTGGTGGTGGGGAGAAGTTCCCATACCTTTGGTCACAGAAGTCCTCTTCTGTGTTGATGATTGTTGTGGTGTCAGAATATAGGAAATACATGGTTTGAGAGAGTTTTTCCTGGTATGGACCTTAATGCTAGAAAGTAGATTTTGAATTGTGTAACATAAATATACATTTCCTAGCCTCATATTGCTTTTTAAAAATATTTTGTTCAAAATTTATGCTCTGTTAATACAGTACTTTTTCTTAGGTTTCAGTTTTGGTATTCCACTTGCAGTTAATGTCTGTAAAATTATCTTGTTTATGGTTGTTCTTTAGCAGTTGTCTTTAAATTTTCATAATTTTATCTATCAAATTGGCTTTGTTAAGCTCGCCATTTACTTACACAAAGTGCATTATTCATATTCTCTTATCAAGTTAGATGTTTTCTTAGAGAAGTGATGTTCTGTTTTATAACAGTCACATCTAGCCCCAAGTGTGACTGAGTACAACATATATCAAATTTTTTGTATCGTGATCACAACAAAACTATTCATTTTAAGTTCAAATTGCATTATTCTAAGAAGCTGTCACTTATGATAGACATTTAAGGCAACTTCCATTTAATTTGTTGATAATTTCTTTCTTATGCCACAGGTAGCTTATCTGAGTATCGTTTTGCATTGTGGAGAGGTTTACAGAAATGTGGTAAATCTGTCAAAGCTGTACAGCATTGTTTTTGCTCATCCAAGCAGTTGTTTCATGCAGGTGAATTGGAATTCACTGATTAGTCTTGACGCTTGGTCTGGTTTATTGTCAGGCTTTGAATCTGTAGCTCTCTCTTCATTTCAGATTATTTTCCTCTTTTCCCTATTACTGTCTTGTATTCTTTATATTTTCAACCCCTGTTGAACTATTTCCTTTTAAGGAAAAAAATTAGAGGTACTTTTAAGCTTGAATAGATCTTGGGGGGGCGGAAAAAAAGGAAACTTGCTTCTTTGTATTATAGCTTGCCAGTTCATCATGTAAAACTATGAAAGTATTCATTTTAATTATGACTGCCAGAGACCCCCCTCTCATTAGGGACTCCTGAAAAAATGACTTAGCCATCTTACTTGCTTGTAAATCAGTGGCGGAATCGCTTCAGATGTATTATTTAGCGATCAGGAAGCTGAAAATAATACCACACTTTTTTTCAGCAAGAAGGAATGACCTTCAATATTGATGTCATTGTCTTTTAACAACCATGGACACATAAGTGAGTTTTAACCCAAATCTTGAAGGCCTGTTAATACTCTCGCTTTTTGTATTTATTTTATTTCTTTCTTTTTCATTCTAATATTTTAAAAGTTGAGGGATATTCATATAACATAACATTCACTTCTTTAAAGTACACACTTCAGTGGTTTTTACTATATTTTTATGTTGTGCAACCATTATTACTATCTAGTTTCAGAACACTTCCGTCACCCCAAAAGAAACCTCATACCTGTTAGTAGTTAGTTCTAATTCCCCTCTTCTTCCTACCAACCCCTGTCAACCACCAATCTAGTTTCTGTCTCTATGGCTTCGCCTATTCTGGACATGTCATATAAATGGAATCATACATCTGGGCTTTTGTGTCTGGCTTCTTTCATTTAGCATAATATTTTTAAAGTTCATCTGTTTTGTAGCATGTAACAGTACTCTTTATGGCCAAATAAAATTACACTGTATAGGTAGTCCACATTTTGTTTATTCATTCCTCAGTAGATGGTCATTTGGGTTGTTTCTATTATTTCTTGTGAATTTTACTGTTATGAAAATGTGTGTCAAGTAGTACAGGCTTTATTCAGTGGCCGTGAAATTGAGAAGAGGGAGCTTGGCTCACCAATCAACTTCTCGACTAGTGAAGGTTGAGGGGATTAAAATGTAGTGTTTCTCTAATGAAGGAGTTGGACATTAAAAGCAAAAGGAATATTCACGATTTTTCTGCAAGTGGGCAGTGAACATTTCAGAACTGGAGTGCTGCCTTTTTTGTCCTTTTATGGCCTCTTCCAGTCATTGTCTTGGCGACTGTGAACTGTCATGGCACTGATGGGAGTGTCATTTAGCATGGAAATGAGATTATAATGAAGCCTGAGGTCTTTTTGACGTCCTTCAGTCGGCTGTCTTAGTCCTAACCAGTCTCAGCTAGTCTGGCTACAAAGGAAACTGTATCATAGGCATCCTGTTTCTTAAGGATAAGCAGAGTTAGGGCAGGGTAGAAATTCAGCTATGTCACATAGGCGTTACACTGGGTAACAATATAGTTTTGATTCTCTTGGGTTGTCTTGGTTATTGATGCTCTTACCAAATTCAATATTTTGCTGTGTTGGTCATTTCCTTATTTGCCCTATGATCCTTTCACTCATCCTTCTCTGCCGTACTCTCCACATTTCCAAGCCGAGCTCCCTTGGCTTCTGCTTCTGTTGAGTTGGTTTAGTGGGTAGCACTAGTGGAAGACTGGAGAGTAGAAGGAGGCGGGGAGCTGGAGAATTCTCCCCTCCTCCTTTGCCCACTCTTGCAATCTAGAGTAAGGCTGTGCCTCTTGAAGCAGCTGTGTCAAAAGAACATAAATCACCAGAGCCATTTCTGATTTTATTTGCTTCTAAGTGACCCCTACTTTCTTTAAATGGCTACATTTGTACATACTATTATGTATCTTTCTGTTCAAAGAGGAAGAAAACATTTTTGATTCATTTGTTCCTCCCTCCTATCTTCTCTCCTCCCTTTTTCCCTCCCTTCCTCCTCCTTTTCCTTCTCTCTTTCAGTTTCTTCGTTCTCTACCTCCCACTCCTTTTCTCCCCCCTTCCCTCATTTCCTTCCATCCTTCCTTTTTCTTAGATATTGCTTTGATCGTCTTATTCCTCAGCAAGCCTAGTTACTAGTGTTAAAAAGAGAGTTTCAGGCTTACAAAAAGGCTCTGAGTTCTTAGGGAAAAAAGATGGTACTTTATTTCTTAATTCACATAAAACAAGCAATTAACTTTGTAGCAATTATTACAGACTTCTAAAATATCATAAAACAGTTTATACATGATTACCAATACATCTAAACTCTAGACAAGTAATATCAAAGTTTTATTCTCTTCCTTTTTTTTCTGTAGTTACAGAATATGATCTTAAAATAAGGTGCTTACTCTGTTAAAATTGTATTTTCCTCTAAATAGTGTTGATATTCACATGTAATTCACTATACATATAGTTTATATGTATATGATATATATAGGTGGTTGTGTGTGTGTGTTTGTGTGTTTCAAAAATCTGTCAGGGTTCTTGATATTAGAAGACTATATGAAAGATCCAGAATTTAAATTCAATAGCTTCTTTCTCATCTACCCCTGCTTTCCTTCCCTTAAGTAACAGTACTTATTGAGTCTCTTCTGTGTGCCAAATACTGTGTTAAGTAAGTCTTGGAAATTCAAGCAATGCACAAGAGGGACAATAACCTTCTCTTCTAGCGGAGGAAATGGATGGTTTCTTCCTAACCAGCAGTCATTGCCTGAGCTTATATATTAATAACATTAAATTGAAATTTTGATGTTATTATAAGTAGTTGTGGCCATTATGTGATTTTTTTGGTATAAAAATAGATACAATTTTATAAAGATACGTTAGGAAGTAATTACCAATACTTTCCTAATACTTTCTAAAGTCAAAAAGTAACTCTTGGAATATAATTTAATAATAATTATAAACAATATACTCCTTCAGGATACTGTTTTTTGAGGATCGTGTTTGATTGCATATTTTTTTTGGTAATATTTTATGTGTTTATTTTTAAACCAAAACTGTTGGACTGAAAGTTTGAGGTATATGTCCAGAGAATCTGTAATTGATTTAAATGATACATGAGACCTTTTTTGTCAAGCTGATCTGAGCTAGAAAAAATCTCTTAGAATAGCTGCATTTAGAGTTTAATGAAACTAGGCAGAAAGGAGACTAAAGTGAATTTCCTTTTTAGTCTTTTAAATGAAAAAGTGCATCATTTGTCCTATATATCTTATTCATCATCAGTCATAGCAAAGCATTCATTCCCATGAGAGAGATAATGGAGTCAGAGCCGAGAGGAATGGAAGATTGTCATTCAATGCAGATGAGTTTTAGTAATATTCTTATCATGAAAAATTGGGTTGCAAAACCTTAAGATTTAAAATTAAGTTGCCATAGATATATTTAATTAAAAGTAGATTGCTTTAACCTTTCTTTAAGTTAGAAATAGGTTTAAAAAATTAAATTTATAGTTAGTTTGTATTTAACTTGTATTCAGTACTTGCCTTTAATAGGAATTCTTTATAAAGTTTAGTCCAAAAAAGGCACATTTTAATTGAATTATTACAATGAACATATAAAGAAAGTTTCTGAAACTATTTTATAACAGTATATTGGATCAAAATATGGTTCACTTTTTTCTTGATGGAGAACGTTACCAAACTTAACAAACCAAACTAAAAACTGAGAGCAAAAGGGGGCTCTGCATTCTCAACTCCTAACACCTCGTTAGCACAGCTGGCTATATTTCCTGGTGTTTTAATGTTTTCACCTGATGGGGTAGGTCCTTATTCATAATACTGCCCAATGGACATTGTTCTTCTAAAGTTAAAGCATATGAAGCATGAAGTTATTGAGGTTGAAAAGCAAACATAAACGAGACTGTATATTGTGCACATTAGTTGGCCAAATTGCAAACTTCCCCTTTATGTAATCATTTTAGGTTAATTAGAAGAAATTAGAGGGCTCCAAACTTATTCTGTGATTCTATCTAATTGAGCACTTTTAATCCAAGGCATTAAAAATAAAAATATGGTGAATATAGAAGGATGTGTTGGCCAACTACCAGTCCTCACTGTACTTGCCCCAGCCCTGGCTCTGTATCACCTGGTTTCAGAATGTGAGTGTCCCTTGTTGTAAGAAGATGCTGAAGTCTGGGCTGTGTAGGTCATGGCAGTTTTCCCACCTGAGAAAAGCCATAGGAGAAGGCATGGGTAATAAGGTTTAGAGCATTTGCCACAGCCCCAATCTATGATCACGCCCTTGGCTCCTGTCCGTCAACTCGTTACAGATCCCTTCCTCTAAGAGTTACTAAGTCAGAAGTGGGGTTTTCTCTTTTATTGGTTTACTTTTGCCTAAGATCTACCCAGATGAATAATAATATTACCTTAGGTGCTTGATTCAACTGTATTATTTTATTTAAAAAATTAATTAATTAATTATTTTTGAGACCTGGTCTTGCTCTGTCACCTAGGAAGGTGTACATGATCATGGCTTAATGCGGCCTCCAACTCCTGGGTTCCAGCAGTTCTTCTGCCTCAGCTTCCAGAGTAGCTGAGACTACAGGCGTGTGCTATCATACGCCACTAATTTTTATTATTTTTTATAGAGAGGAGTGTCTTGGTATGTTGCCTAGGCTGGTGTCGAACTCCTGGGCTCAAGTGATCCCCTCTCCAAGGCCTCCTCCTGCCTCGGCCTTCTTGGGCTACAGGTGTGAGCCACTGCATCCAACCAACTTTAGAATTCAAACTTTATTATTTTTTTTATGATTAGGTCATGCTGACTAGCACAAAGTATCTCAGAGTAATTGTACATATTAAACCAAAATACATTGTTAAAAGCTAAGTCGTTTACTATAATTTTCATTTCATTTTTTAAAGGAAAAGCTTTTGTATAAAATAGTCCATTTTTGTTCTCCTTTTTCTTCCTCTTCACAGGGTGAGGAATCACAAATTGAAATCTCCTGTAAATATATTATCATTAACTGGAAGGAAATTGCAACATTATAGAGTTGTTAATCTTTTCTCATTTAAGATCGAGATTCATTCACTTTCAGAGGCTGAACAAGAAGGCATGGTCATGTTAGGCATACAGAAAATTGGAGTCCCTTGTTGCAAGCAGATGGATTATCCTCCTCTGGACTTTATTTTGTTTTACACCTTCATCATCGGCCATATAGGAAGAGCTTCCTGTGTACAGTGCTCCACAGGAAGTACGATAAAATGAAATTTTGTATGCTAGAGCTGTTAGCATAGTTCCTAAAATCTAGTATGTTCACTGTGTTTCTTTACTAATTCATTTTTGCTTTGTGTTAGTAGGACTTAATCATGCTTACAGACAATAGTAATGTCTAGCGTAGGACAATAATATAGCAAGACAATAAAGGGAATCATAAATAAAATGAGACAACAATGAGGAAAACAGCAAGATGATAAAGACAATAAAAAGTAGAATAAAATAGAAACAAAATAAAGACAGTCATAAATGGTTTAACCCTTTTATTAAACAACAACAGCAAAAAAGAGGATTTCCGTCATTTAAATTTGTGTTTCATGGTGACGATGCTGTTATGGAATGGCTTGGAGTTATTCATTCTGTTAGGATAAGTGCTAATGATATCCCAATTAATTGATTAGCAAATGTTTCATAAATATATTGGAAAAATTTACTATTGTAGTTTTAAACAGGCATGTACATGTAACTATAAAATAGTGAGTAGTTCTGGTAACTGTTTATTTAATGCACATGTATTGTTTGCTGTGTGCCTGATCCAGTACCAGAGCTGGACAAGTATCTGTCTTACTACTTTTTGGTTGGTATTTTTGTATCTAGTGCTTCCTGTCTTATTTGGTTGATAGTGTTACAACTGAGATATAGTTTATTCATTTCTTTGCGAAGCTTAGTAAGAGGAATTTAGAGACGAAGTATGCACACACAGTGTTAGCGCTGAGGGGATGAACATATGACTTTGGTTGGTGTTGAGTGTCTAGTGGATGTCAGAGAACTTAAGTCCACTTCATTTCTGGAGGACCCAATTATTTCTGGCAGGACTTCATAGTTGTGAAGATCTTACTGTGCTCATTAGAAACTGGGGTAGGCACAGATAAAGCACATAGTTCTCTGTCTCTAGAGCATTAGATTTATAATGTTTGTTAGTGGACCTATTGTTGCATGACTTTTCCTTAGTTCAGCTAAATACAGGGCCTTGTCACACAGCCACGGAAGATTAGGCTCACAGACAATTTGAAGGGTGAGTAAGGCACAGTTTTATTGGGTGAAAAGGGAAAAAATGGGAAATAGGGATCCTCCACAAAGCTAGAATCCCCGCTGGTGTGCTTTGAATTGAATCCCTGGTTCCACCCAGGAAGAGGAGGGGCCGGGCTCCTCCCCACTGCAAACAACACTAACTTCCCAGCCAAACATGCCACAGAGCATACCTCTCCCGGGGCCCAGACTGGTTGGAGTTTCTCTGGGCACCCCTTCCCTCCTGGCTATCTCAATATGGCCAATGATCAAGAGAGGCTGGAAGAGGCTTAGTTCAAAATGGTGGAGTGGACTCGCCCGCTAGTGATGGGAGGCTGTGTGTGAGATGATAACGCAGGGCCTTGCGGGCTATTTTATGAAGTAGTTAAAAGTGACAAAAACATTTTAATGATTTTGTTTCAAATTTAAGAGTTCTTAAAATCTAATCAGTAGTTAATAAAAAACATGACTATTTACTTTGTTTGACTTTAAACAAATGGTTCTTACATTAAAGACAGAAAACATGACAATTGTTGGTGGATTAAATGTTCTTTATTTTAACGGAATTGCCCTAATGGCAGTCAGATTCATTCTTGAACATGTTAAGCCTCCATATAACTTGCCAGTATTTTCCTAAACTTGGGTCCCTGATTTCTGAAATGGGAGTGAGGAAAGATGTGAAAATTGATGGCCTCAAGCTTTTTAAAATCCAAATTGAAACTTGTACTACAAAGAGAGAAGTTTAACCTGAGAGTTTATGCCTGTATCAGCATGACATAGAGTAGCAATTGAAGTTTTCTTACACCCTACAGATCTAATAAACACATTGGTTCATTTAAAAGTGATTCAATTTTCTTGGATTTTAGATTTCAGAAAAAAAGGAACATAGTCTAATAAATTATGTCCTATATGTCTTATAAATGTAGAAATCACATATAGAGGTTTATTTTAGATGCTACTAGTGTTTGGGCATAGATAATTTGGCATTTTGTGAATTTTTAGATTAATAGCCTATTGAACATTTTAGAATATTCCTTTTTTTAAATGGTGATATTTAATATGTTGAATGGATATAGTTTATATACATAATAGTAATTGCCTGTGTAATTTACATATAGCATTAAATATATATAGTATATATAATATTTTTGGCATTTAGGACATAAAAGAGAAAATTAAGATCTGTTTTAAAATACAAGTAAATACATTCATGTCATTCATGTTTTTTGAAATTACTGTAATTTTGCTTTTAAATCTTGGTCTACACAATTGGTTAGTGACCCATAGTAATTGAAAAGATTAACAAAAGGAACCACCTAAATCTTTTGTGCATTTTAATCATTTATATTATTTGCTAAACACAGGTATAATTCTTATTAATATAATCTTAGTATATAATGGAGTCTTATTAAAAGAATACTATTTATGCTTATTTGCAAAACTAAAAATAAATGTTTTTTTGGGTTAATTGTATTCTTTATTACCTGTTCAGTTGCCAAGTTAACTTAATATCATCTTCATTTGGCATAAAAAGGTGAAAATTTCTTTTAGTAAATCCTTGTTGAGTACTTATTCTGTGGGTGATTCTGTGTTAGGCGTTGGGGTACAAAGAAGAATAAAACTTGATCCCTACCTTCAGAAAGCTGGCAGTCAAGGGAAGAACAAATCAATATAGACAAATTAGTAAGTGCTATGTATAAGCAAATGTATTAAGTGTAGTTAGTAAGTGCTATGGTAGATGTAGGTTTAGGCTACTTGTGGGAGTTCAGAGGGAGTTATCACTCTTAATTGGTGCACCAGTCAGCTATATCCACTGTAGTGCGGAGTAGCACACTATTTCCATACTTTGTGTAACAATAGTAAGCATTTATTTTCCACTCATGCATCTGCAGATCTGTTAGAATGGCTCTGCTTTTTAGAGGTTTTGATATGCTTAGGAAAGGTGATGGGGTAGCAAGCAAGATTTTTTGGTGTGGAATGAAGCTGCTGGTGAGTGATGAGCAGAATTTTTGGAAAGCATTATCAAACTTTATTGTGTAAAAGGTATAAAGATTGCTGTGGCAGAATTTTTCTGTTTTAAACTCCATGATGCTAAATACTCCAGACTGAATGGGGCGTCTCGATCTACGATGTTTTGTGACGTGACTACTTTTCTTTGATGCTACTCCAGACTCCTTGATCTCTTTTTCAACGTTTCATCTCTTTTGAACCTTGAGCTTCCACCGTGCTCACCTTGTAAATCTGTAAAGTCTAATTTTTTCTCTGCTTTTGCATAGCTTTTGGGAACAGTGAGGAAAATCACATAGAGATGTGAACTGCTGCTTCTACGGAATCATGGCCATCAACATTCCACAGAAATCATTTGCACACCCCGAGCCTGCTCTTTCTTACATTCTCCATGGTAGCTATTTCAGTTTCACTGCTCTCCTCAGAATCTGTTATTTTACTACCTCCTCATTTTTCATTCACGTAATAGTTGCCTTGACTTTTCAGAGAAAAGAGAAGCCACCAGAAAGGAAAATTTTCGACTTCCCAATCATTTTCTTAAAAATATCTCTATATATTTATCTTTTCCATGTGCTTTCAAAAGTTGGTAGAAGAAATTGCTGTCACAGATCCATACTTTGAATCCCATTTTCTTTTGCGTCCTTAATATTGTACATCTGTTTGCCTCTTCTTTTCCCCTCAGCCTCTCCATCTGCTGCTTTCTTTCCCTCTGCATATAAAGTTGTTCATCATTCTTCTTCCTTAAATATATTAGAACGAAAGACATACCTCTTTCATTTCTCTGTCAGATTTCTAGAATGATACCATAGACTATCGGTTAGAAAACCTGTGTGTGCATAGCAAACATGTAGGGAGCTTATAAAAGTAAAGATCCACTCCTGGATCTGATTGACGGATCTATAGTAGAGTATTTATTGTTTTCGAACTTTTAAAGATAACCAGGTTGGGGAAATACTGTAATAAATGAATATGTATTAATATGGGTGATGCTGACCGTGTAGTATGTGACAAAAGGTTACAAAATTGTAAGTTAAAAAAGTGTATGTATATACTTTTATATATATTTTATACTATATAGACACATGCATATGCATATAAATACCTACGTAATAAGAATGAGAAGATTTTATACTAAGGCATTAATAATGTAGAGGTGGATGTGGTTTGCGTATGTTTTAGTGTTTTTAAATTTTATTTTATTTTATTTTATTTTTGAGTCAGAGTTTCGCTCTTGTTGCCCAGGCTGGAGTGCAATGGTGTGATCTCAGCTCACCACAACCTCTGCCTCCCAGTTTCAAGCGATTCTCCTGCCTCAGCCTCCAGAGAGCTGGGATTACAGGCATACGCCACCATACACGGGTAATTTTGTATTTTTAGGAGAGATGGGGTTTCTCCGTGTTGGTCAGGCTGGTCTTAAACTCCTGACCTCAGGTGATCCACCCACCTCAGCCTCCTGAAGTGCTGGGATTACAGGCGTGAGTCACTGCGCCCGGCCAGTGTCTTTAAAATTTATCTATATATTTTTTCTATGCAGAATACATCCTTCTTTTGCAATAAGAAACAAAAATAATGGTAGATGTTAGGACCCCATGTACCTGCATTCCCTATTTTACCTTCCTTCCCTCCCGCCTCCATATAGGTATCTTTTCTTCCTTTATCTTCCTGCAGTAGTAGATGTTGTAGTAGATGCTGTAGATGACTACTTCTAGTTTCTTAAAATTCCCTTCTCTCTTACTTTCATATTCTCTGTCCCATTTAAAGAACCACAAAAGCGAAACATTATTTTTCTCTGCCACCCCTAATAACCAAACAATTGTCTTACCAAGGAAGTAGCTTTCAAATGCACTCCTTCGTTTTCATCCCCATCTTCATTGTTGTGGTTTGAGAGAACCAGTTGAGATGGGTATCACTGAAGCCCAAGGAGGGGGAACCAGGAGTTTCCAATGCCAGTGAAAATGCATGCCACTTGAAGTCTGGAGAGAACTGTTGGGACTCGAAATTTTCAAGTCTGTGGTGACCTTTGCCAGAGTATTTCAGACACATTTTAGCAGCTGAAGAGATATGAGGAAGTAGAGATGGCAGTTAGGAAATTGGTCTATCAATGGTAGGATAGCCAGAGAATGACTTGGATCAAAAAGAGAGGTTTTCTTCATTGTTGTTAATGTTCTTTCAGCCAGTGCATCAATTCATCCTATTTGAATGCTGAGACTAAAGAGCTTGAGGGCATGTTTGAAAACATCAGAACATTAGAAAAAAAATGTACAAAAGAGAAAAGAAAAGATTGGAATCGCTGAGCGCAATGGCTCACGCTTGTAATACCAGCACTTTGGGAGGCCGAGACAGATGGATCGCCTGAGATCAGGAGTTCAAGACTAGCCTGGCCAACGTGGTGAAACCCTGTCTCTACTAAAAATAAAAAAATTAGCTGGGCATGGTGGCGGGTGCTTGTAATCCCGGCTGCTTGGGAGGCTGGGGCAGGAGAACTGCTTGAACCTGGGAGGTGGAGGTTGCAGTGAGCTGAGATCATGCCATTGCATGATCAAACCAAAAAACAAACAAACAAACAGAAGACAACAACAAAAATGGAATCAAGGAATTAGCCTTGAACAAGAGAAAAACAAACAAAAACAAAACAACAACAACAACAACAACAAAAAACTTGTCTTTCTCACGGACTGAAGGAGAGGAGGTAAAGGTGCCTGCACTTATCAGTGCATAGGTTTGAGAGTGGAAAGCTGAGGGAGTTCTTGTCTGCTGGCTCCCGTTTTCTCTGTGAAATAGAAAAGCTGCTGCTGCAAGGAAGTAGAGTATACAAGTTTACCTCTCTGTGGAGATACTGGAAGCTACTTGGTACAATGCATGATTTTTATTATTTTCTTACTCTATGTGTCTCTCTGGCTTGCTGTCATTCTCTTTTATGATACTTTTGTTGTTATCCTCCACAAGGCTATAACACCAAGGTTAATGCTAGGCATGTTGTAATCATTAACAGAACACTTTGTTGTCATTTAAGGTTGAATATCGAGAGAGTAGCCTGAGTCATGCTCTGTCACTTACTTGGCTGGGGATGGTGACTTATCGCAGCAGTGTGGTTGAGGGGATCCTCTGTTTTCACAGACTGATGTAGCTTTAGTTCTGGTGTAGCTGCTATATTGACATGCCTAATGTTTTCAGGGCTTGCAAAAATGTACTAGTGAGCTTTTCTATGAAAAAAAAATTCCATAGAGAAATTTTGATTGCTAAAGCATGAGATTCCAGGATGGCTTTAATTGAGAGGGCAAACATAAAATCTAGTTAAATTTCTGCTGTGGACTGAGTGTTTGCGTCTCCTCAAAATTCATATGTTGAGCCCTAATCTCCAATGTGATGGTATTTGCAGGCGGGGGCTTTGGGAGGTAATTAGATCTTGACGGGAGAGCCCTCATGAATGGGATTAGTGCCCATGTAAGAGACCCCAGAGAGAGGATTCCTGTTTCCACCATGTGAGACAACATGGAGACAGTACTCTGCAAGTTGGGAAGAGAGCTATCAAGAATTGGACCGTGCTGCCACCCTGATCTTAGACTTCCAAAGCCTTCAGAACTGTGAAAAATAAATGTTTTTTGTTTAAGTGACCCAGTCTGTGGTATTTGTTATAGCAGCCTGAGTTGTCTAAGACAGGTATTATCCACATTTCTACCCAGTAGATAGATGCTGGGCTGAATCTAGATTGTTGTATACGTGTCATAGAGGGTAAGAGCACACACAGACAGAAGCAGGAGTCAGACTAACATGATTCAAATACTGGCCCTGTCATGTAGTAGCTCTGTGATTTGGTCTTTGTTACTCTCCCTCTTGGAGTGTATTTTCTCATCCATCAAATGAAAATTGTGATACTTTATAGGACATTTGAGGTAATCGAATTAGATGTCGAATGTCAAGCACTAAGGACAATCCATAACTACTGCTACTGGAATCAGTGTCACCAAGTCTTCCTATTTTTTTTGTTGTTGTAATGATTTTGTTATTTCTATCATAATAAGACTCTTCATTTCTATATCATTAGTTTTGAGATGGCCTTTGCTCAAATTATTTTTTTAAAGGGAGTATATTATTTGATATAAAGTTGTTCACAGCTCTCCTTCCTCAAATATATATGAAATGTATATGGAAAATGAAAGAAAATCCCTCCCTCAATTCTTTGTCAGGTTTCTTAAATAATAACATAGGGCATTGGTTACCAAACATGTGTCTGGATAGCAAAACATTTAGGAGCCATGTGAAAGTTTCAGATCTGTGTTCCTTATAGGTCTCATTCAGAGTAAAAGATAAGTTCTTACATCATCATCATTAGCCTAGTTTGCTTAAGTTGGTAATCACCTCTGAAGCCACCACTAATTAATCTGGGTTTGAGAAGAGGATACCTATTTTCATTTGAGTAAAAAGCCTGTTGTTTATAGCTTTGAATGTTGTTAAGTTGTTCTACCTTGGCAAAAGCCTTGAAAATTTTTAATCATTTTTTCTTCATAGAGTCTTCAGCTATCCATCCTGAGTCTTTATTCTACTTATTGAGCAAGCTAACTATTCAGCATTAAATTTTTATATATCTCACTATGTGGTCTTTTCCTTTACGGTATCTCCAACAGAACCTGATTTTATTCTAGGGCAAAAGCTCAGTAGAAGTGAATGAATAAAGGCTACCTGACTTTTAAAAAAAGTTTTATTTTTTAACAGCCTTATTGAGATATAATTCACATAGCATACAGCTCACCATTTTAAAGTGTACAATTTGATGGTTTTTAGTATAATAAAATAGTTGTGCAACCATTATTACAGTTCATTTTAGAACATTTTCAACGCCCCAAAAGAAATGCCATACCCTTTAGCTATCATCCTACCGTTTCCCCAGCACTAGGCAACCACTGATCTACTTTCTGTGTCTATGAATCTGCTGGTGTTCAATATTTCATATAAATGGTATCATATAATATGTGTTTTTTTGTGATGTGATTCTTTCACTTAGCATGTGTACAAGGTTCCATGTTGTAGTGTGTATTAGTACTTCATTCCTATTAATGACCAAATAATACTTCATTCTATTAATATACAACATTTTGTTTATTCATTTAGTGATGATCATTTGGATTGTTTTCACATTTTGACTATTATGAGTAATTCTACTATGAACATTTATGTTCAAGTTTTTGTGTTGACATGTGTTTTCATTTCAATTGGATATCCAGGTTGGAGTGGAATTGCTGTGTCTAATGGTAACTCTGTCTTTAGCTTTTGAGGAACTCCAGAGTTTTCAAAGGGGCTGCACTGTATTATCTTCCCACCAGTAGTATATAAGGTTTGAAATTTTTCCATATCTTTGCTAACACTTATTATCCATTAGCCATCCTAGTGTGCATGAAGTGGTATCTCATTGTGGTTTTGATTTGTATTTGTATTTTCCTCATGACTAATAATGTTGAATACCCTTTTTTATGACTATTTTTATTTTTATTTATTTATTTATTTATTTTTGAGAAAGAGCCTTGCTCTACCACCCAGGCTGGAGTGCAGTGGTGTGATCATGGCTGGCTGCAGCCTTGACCTTCTGGGCTCAATCAATCCTCCTGCCACAGCCTCCTGAGTAGCTAGGACTACAGGCGTGTGCCACCATGCCCAGCTAATTTGTTATTTTTTGTAGAGATGGGGTCTTGTTATGTTGCCCAGGGTGGTCTTGAATTCCTGGCCTCAAGCAACCCTCCTGCCTTGGCCTACCAAAGTGTTGGGATTATAGATGTGAGCCACCACACCCAGCCCTTGAATATCCTTTTGTATGCTTATTGTCCATTTGTACATCTTGTTGGTAGAAATGTCTATTCAGATCCTTTGCTCATTTTAAAAATTGGGTTGTCTTTTTTATTCAATTGTTAAATATTCTTTTTGTATTCTAGATTCACATCCCCTATCAAATATATGATTTGAAAATATTTTCTCCCATTCTGTGGACTGCCTTTTCACTTTCTTGATAGTGTCCTTTAACATGCAAAAATTTTAATTTTGAAGATGTCAGATTATCTGTTTTTTTCATTTGCTACTTGTACTTTTTGTGTGATATTAAAGAACAGAGATTACAAAGATTGCCGTATGTTTTCTAGTTTTAGTTCTGACATGAGTCATTTTGAGTTAGTTTTGTATATGCTTCGAGGCAGGAATCCAAATTTATTCTTTTTTTATGTGGAGATCCAGTTGTTCCAGAACTATTGGTTTTAAAGACTAAAGAACTATTGGTTTTAAAGACTATTCTTTCCCTCATTCAATGGTTGAAAACCATTGAACCATCCTTGTTGAAAACCAGTTGGCCATAGACACATGAGTTTTTATCTGTTACATTGCTAGCTATATTAGAAACCATTATTTTAACTTTATTGGTATATTTTCATAAGTGGCTATAGGGTTAGGAGGGAGACCTATGTAGGTGCTTTCTTGATTGCTGTAAACCATTGCCATGCTCCCACACCATGGACTGGGTCAGGTGGGATATCTTAAGATAGAAGATTGTGTTTTAGGGTATAGAGGAGAGTCACTAACCTCAAATACATGCTGAAACCAAGGAAGTGATGAATCAGTTAAGTTGCAGTTGATAGTGATATGGCATGTAACAGGGAACTACAGTGTGCTCCCTGTCTAAAAAGAGCCCCCCTACTGGCCCCCAAATGTTTGTTGAAATGGATAGCTAGCTAGCTACTGAAAACATACTTGAGAGCCATTCTTGGCCCATAGGATGACTGTTGCTACTTCTGGTTATAGACCATATGGCATTCACAATTCTCTTACAATTTCTTCTCCTTCATGCTTTATCCTTTCTGTGTTCTTTCTAAGCAAATAATGTCTCACTTTCCAGCTGTAATCATTAGTTTTCCTCTGGTTTACTGTTACTGAGAGATTACAAAATGAAAGGATAGTCAGGTTCAGACCAAAACCAAACCCAAGTATCTGAGTGGATTTGGGCTGTTACAACAAAGTAGCACAGACTGGATGGCTTCTAAACAACAGACGTTTATTTCTTGCAGTTCTGGAGGCTGGAAGCCTGCGATCAGGGTGCCATCATGGTTGGGTTCTGGTGTGAGCCCTCTCTGGCGTTGCAAACTGTTGTCTTCTCACAGTGTATTCTCACATGACCAAGAGACAGAAAGAGAGCTCTCTGGGATTCCTTTAATACAGGTACTAATCCCATTCATGAGGGCTTTCCTTCATGATTTAATTCCTTCTGAAAGTCCCTATCTCCAAATATTACCACATTTGGGGTTAGGATTTTAACATGAATTTGGGGGGCATACAAACTTTCAGTCCATAATACTAGGTAAAAAGAGATCAATAATGCAAGTCACAGCAAAGATAAATGTCATTATCCTTAGATCCTAAATAATGTTTATTTTTGGTCAATTATAGATGGCATGAATTGTGTGAAATTGGAGAAATTTTCTTTTTTTTTTTTTTTTTTTGAGACGGAGTCTCGCTCTGTCCCCAGGCTGGAGTGCAGTGGCGTGATCTCAGCTCACTGCAAGCTCCGCCTCCCGGGTTCACGCCATTCTCCTGCCTCAGCTTCCTGAGTAGCTGGGATTACAGTGCCCGCCACCACGCCCAGCTAATTTTGTTTTTGCATTTTTAGTAGAGACGGTGTTTCACCATGTTAGCCAGGATGGTCTCGATCTCCTCATCTCATGATCCACCCGCCTCGGCCTCCCAAAGCGCTGGGTTTACGGGCGTGAGCCACTGCACCCAGCCGAAAATTGGGTAACATTTCAAACTCACTTGTCATGGTAGTATTTAATATACTGTTAGCTTGCAGCCGGTCAAGTAAACTGAAAATAAATGGAGAATTTGAATGAAATGAAATTACATATTTTCAAGGATCTGTGGAACGTCTACAAAGATAGATTATACACTGGAGCACTTTTTAGAACTGAGTTCCATGTGGTGGGCTCTGAGAGGGAGGGTAAGAAATGAGGAGAAAGCGCGGCCAGATAGAGGCATTTCAGCCAGATCAGCTCTGTTTTTATATGCTTTGCATAGTTTTAGTGTTGGAGTTCTCCATAAAATCTATTTTGAGATAATTGAATGGTTTCTACTCCTGCAAGTAAATAGGTTGGTAAATAAGTAAATAGTTTGATTGCCCCTGTATTGAGCTACAAAGTAAGCCTCCTGACGAACTTCATTTCAATAAAACTGGAAATTAATGAAAAAATCTTAAGGAAAATATAATACCCACCATACAGTTTTTCACAAGCAACAATAGCATTGGAGAGAATAATCAGAGTTACAATTATAGTCTGTTTTGAAAAGAAATGAAAACTGTATCGAAAGCTATTGGTTACAGCTAGAACAATAATGAAAGATTCTGCATCTGATCCACAGAACACAGAAAATTATTTGAGTGCCTATTTTCCAAATTATCCCAAGGACCATATGTAACTAATACAATTCTAGATGCACTGAAGGGAAGTTAATTTATTGCATACAATGGATTCTTAACACATTAGGGCTTAATTCTCTTAGTGAACCCTGATTGATCAAGGCAGGCATACCCTGTTATTAAGATGATAATTCCCAGAGTTGATGAGGTTATGGGTGGTTGAATATCCTCATATCCAGCTGATTGGAGTATGAATGGAAACTACCTATCCAGAAAGTAGTTTGTTAATCTGTATTCAGAACCATAAGTGTATTAAACCTTATGCCCTGTGCTTTATAATATCACTTTTTATAATTGATAGCAAGAAAAGAGATTTGGACACCTATTTGTGCACAGAGACCTCATAACATTCATTTTTATTTTTTTATTACAGAAATATTTTACTCTGTAGAATAATAGAGATAAGGTTCTATATTCTTTTCACCCAGCTTTGACACTTATCAATATTTAGCTAGTGTTGTTTCATCTGTTCCCTTGCCCGATGTACATTAGTTGTTTTGCTTTTCATAATTTAAACCAAACTTCAGGCAATGTACAATTTCGTCATTAATACTTTTTTGTGGAATTCCTACTATCAGTAGATGTTTTTGGTAACATAATAACTCTTATCATCCTTATTAAAATTATCAATACTTTCTTTATATTCAGTCTAGAGTCAGATTGCCTGATATGCTACTATTGATATGCAATTACATTCATTTATTCCCACATATTTATATTTTAAGGGCTTTTCTTATTTTTTCTTCTTTTTAACTTATTAAGTTTTCCCATTTTATGAATTATTTACATGGTTTTGTAGTCAAAATATAATGAGTACAATCCTGGAAGACTACTAATCTGTGCATTTTCTTCTCATATTCAGAATAATTTCTATGCATTCTTTGCTGTATTTTGTGCTTTTGGAAATCATAAACAAGAATATTTATCAATCCCTTTCTTACATGAGAAGAATCATAGTATAAATACTGTTTCTTGATGAAACATTGTTAAAATTACAAGCAATGAGGTATATCCATTTATCATCCCCTTTGTTACATAGAAAGTACCATAATGTAAATACTGTTTTAGAAATAAAGACACATACTTTTATTTAAAACCACAGTTTTTTGATAATAAAACTATTTTCTCCCATAAATCCCTTAAATAACAATTTAGTAAGTGAAGCTCTAGGTCTTAGTCATATGCTGCATGACATTTTGGTTGATGAGGGACTGCGTGTACAAAGGTGGTCCCATAGGATTATAATACTTTACTTTGACTTCACCTTTTTAATGTTTAGATACTCAGATATTCCATTGTGATACAGCTGCTTACAGTATTCATTACAATAACATGTCATACAGGTTTGTAGTCTAGGAACAATAAGTTATACCATACAGCCAAGGTGTGTAGTAGGCTATGCCATGTAGGCCGGCATAAGTATATTCTATAATGTTTACACCATAATGATATTACCTAATGACACATTTCTCAGAATGTATCCCCATTTTTAAGTAATGAACAAATGACTGTATTTGATTTATTTTCTAATTTCCAGAAAGCTAGATATACATGATTGAGCACTATGTTTGTTTAAATAATGAGGTATTAGTATTCCATTGGTTCTGAATTTAGTGGCACTCTGATATACTTTAGAGATTGTTCTTGAAAACCACACCTAAGCTAAACTAATATGTGTTAAGAGTAGTTTCCCCAAGGTAATAGTGATAGGGAGGGGAAGTGTCTTACTAAGGTCCTTCCCAGGGTACTAGCTGCCAGTAGAAGTTGAAGAAGGGTGATTCCTTTGCACCCAACTGAGAGGAGGAAGAATTATCTGGAGGGGAAGAGAGAAAATCAAACAGCACAGGGCAATATGTCAGAAAGGACTACTGTCAGTCACCCCCCAGACACTGAGTGGTTCTCTCATAATCCTGGGTAAGAACAATGCCATAGGAAATTCCAGCTCTATACTTTATGACAAGATTCTTCCTTGATACAAGTTAAGTAGCCAAACTTCAATCTTTATAAGCCTTTGCATTATAATTTCTTATACATTCTGCATGATACAAAGTAATTAAATGACATCATATGATGAGGAAGGATGTTTCCTTGCTCCAAAGTGGTGATATTCCAGATATTTAACAACTGTTTTGACCCGAGGATATCCTTTCAGATGGGATGGGATTGATATCTGCCATATGGGCTAGTACTGACTTTATATTAGCCTTTGTATATTAGCCTCGCCTATTGCATTTGCCAGACATCTTGCCTCACTGCTTGTCTGGGTGTGGCAGGGATTGGCCCAAGTGCAAACCAAACTCTTTAGCACATTGGAATCTTCCTGAAAAATGGAAGGCCCTACATACTAAATTGGAACCTTTTCAGCCATGTTTAAGGAAAATTTATATTAAACTCAAAAACGCTGCAGAAATGAAGTGGCTAAGTGCTGATGAAGAGTAGTGCTCCACTGTGAATCAAAGAGTTTGGGAATGTTTGAAGGAGGCTGACATTTGAGAATTTTATGTGAGGATTAGTACATTTGAAAAGGAAAGGTTGTTGGGTATGAGATAAACATAGAGTTTGTGTGCCTGATACAGTGACCTTAGTTAATGTTTGATCACCTTTGCCGAATGTGTGTTTGCAGTTCATATTAAACTGTGCATCACACTGTTTCTTTTCCATATCTCGATTTAAATTTTGTCAGCTTGTTTTGAGTCTGTGGACAAATAGAATCTTATGCCTTATCAGATATGATGAATTTAAACCTGTTAATAAAATACCTATTAAAATATTTGCTTTAGAAATATATCAGGTTTTCCACCATGGCACATGTATACCTATGTAACAAACCTGCACGTTCTGCACATGTATCCCAGCACTTAAGTAAAATAAAAAAGAAAATAAAGAAAAATACAGAAGGCCAAAAAAAATTAATTATTGTAAATTAGCTCTGTAAGACCTTCTTTAGTAAGAGATGTTCAAATACTATGTTTATATACATTATATTTTTATTTTAAAAGAGTAATTAGTACATATTAATTGCCGAGTGATTCCTAGAAATATTTTATTTTAATTTATAATTAAAATCTACCTTTATTCCAGACTTAAGACTGCAAATTAAAATACGCTGGACTCCAAGAATGCCACTTAGTCACAATGTAAACAAAAACATTAATATGCCACCCCAAAAGTTTCTATCAAGAGAAACTAGACAAGCATAAGAGTATCAGAATCCTTTCTACATTCTTGGAGGTTCCTAAATGTTGCTCCAAGACTATACAGCTGACCTGTGAACACTGTGGGGGCTAGGCGTGCCTACTCCCCACATACTCAAAAGTTTGAGTATAAATTTTGACTCCCCCAAAACGTAACTACTAATATGCTGCTGTTGACAAGAAGCCTTACCAATAACATACAGTTGATTAGCATTTATTTTATACATTATATGTATTATATACTGTGTTCTTACAACTAAGTAAGCTAGAGAAAAGAAAATGTTATTAAGAAAATCATAAGAAACAGAAAATATATTTACTATTCATTAAGTGAAAGTGGATCATCATAAAGATCTTTATATTTGTTTACATTTATCTCAATTGTAAATAGTGCCTGTATGGTCTTTATTTGTATACCTAAGTTTTAATACATTTTAACATTTTATCATTAAAACAGAGAACTGTATCAGGTTTTCTTTACTTGATAAACATCAAATGTTTTAGCAGATGTTGTAATAAAATAATTTATGCGTATAGGAAACATGTTCTTAAAATTTTGCCAAAACTGAAATAATAAGCACACATTGTTTTGGGGGTACCTAACTTTGAGCCTAGCAATATCTAGGTTATGGTAGATAATGAAGAGTAGACAGGAATATGAGTTAATATTGTTAACATTTAAAAGGTTTAATATCACTTTTCTATGGGAAAAATAAACCTTTAAATTTTTATTCATTTTGTTATCAGTTGCTTATACTTTTTAACCAAGCAATGTTTCGGTGTGAATATCATAGAGAATATTATCTGTAGACACTAATAATAGTATATTCAATAATGGTTTTAACGCATGTTGTCTTCTCATGTTCTGATTATCATTTCTATTCCCTCACATTAATACATTTAAATTCCTTGATCTCTGAGATTGTGTGTTTAATCTGATTCTCACTGGTCATCCTTCCTGGGCTTTACAACCCCAGTCAATCCTAAATCTTAAATCCTATATTTCATGTGATTAACACTAGCCTCAAAGGATTATTTATGACATTTTTGATTTCAGAAGTCCCTTGACCTGTTGATATATTATATTATTTGATAGCCTTTTAGTTTAACTTCATCTAGAAAATTACTCACAAAACTGTTAAGTAGAGAACACGCAAACACATCAATTTAACTAGGGCAGTTGTTTCTAAAGTGTAGTCCCTGGTTTCTAAAGTTGAGGCCACTGGCATCAACATCACCTATGACCTTTTTAGAAATGCAAATTATTAGGCCTCACCAAAGATCTTTATAAAAAACTCTAGGACTGGGACCCAGCAATCTGTATTTTAACAAATCCATGTGATTCTCATGTAAACTATAGTTTGAGAACCCACTGACCTAGATAGAGACCTTTCTAGTTCTATGTGTAGTTCTATGCTTGGTAGAGAAGCAAATGATTGTCACACATGATGAAGAGTCATGTTTATTTCCATCCTCAGGTCTGCATAGCAATGCAAACTCTTTGCATTACATAATTAATTCTCTCTCATGTACTCAGCATAAGTTGTGTAGGATTAAATGAAAAAAAGTTTGAGTAACCTGATTTTTTTATAAATATGTCTTTAGATAGGCTCTGATATGGCTTGGTACTATTTATTATTATTAATATTATTACTTTATTTTCAATTATATTCTGTAGTAGAGTCACATGACTTATTTCACAAGACATGCATTTCCCTAAAATGTGTCTACCAGCTTATATTATTTTGCCTTCTGTGTTTTTCTAAATCAAATTTTACTTAAAATCAATTTTCAGTATTTTATACCAATAATTTGAGGTTGAATTTTATGTATTTATTTTTAACTGTGTGCTTCCATGATTGGTTCCTGCAATTACACCTGGATACACCTTAATGATAGTTCCTTCTTTCTTAGCTAAGTGTTTAATGTTAAGTTTATAAGCACAGATCCAAATCCAATGATTTTCCTGATTATTCTGTTTCTGGATATTAAGATATGTGTATTCTGTGGAGTAAAGCTGTTTTTATTAGATATTTTGAGAAACTCATATAAGGCAGGAACTGGTTTTATTGGAAAAAATCCTTTGTGTGATGTAGTGTGGTAGAAGTGGATATTCTGGTTGGTGCCCATGTTTTTAATGGAAAGAAGAAACACTAATAAAGGAATGAGAAAGAGGAGAATTTAGGGCTTAGCAATGATTGGAGAAAGAGCCAAGGAGATGGAAAAACTGATGGTGGGGTAGCTGAAGAGGGATTTATTTGGAGAGAAAACGGACTAATGGAAAAGTCTTAAATAGTTTCATACATATATGCTTGCAGACCTTCTTTCTCTCCCATATGAAATCTTTAGTATGCTCTACATAGTTTATGATGGCTAATGTACTGGATTTTTTTGGGTGGGGGTAAATATTGTAAAGATTTTCTAAGTCTTGCTTTAAAGATTTGTGTTTGGCAAGAAAAGAGTACCTGCAGCGAAAGCCAACACCTGAGTTCCCATGAGGAAAGGGGCATTACTAAAATGAAACTCTTGAAGATGCAAAGAAAAAAAGTTTTTTACAGTGTATAATTACAAGTAATCAGCATGTGCTTTGGAGTTTTATATAATTAAACTATTATAAAAGAAAAATGCGACATAGTTAAAGTATTTTTCTTTATCAAATATTAATACTTTGCTTATTTAAATAATCTTGAAACAATAGTTGATACCAAGCTAAAGAACTAGTTCATCAATTTTCAAAAACTGATATTGGAAACCATTTTCACAGTGCTGAAAACAGCTCTTACAAATAAATCTGCATATCTAAATTTCACATATCATTGAATTTCACTTTCAAAATATCCAAATCTTTTAATAAATTTTTTAGTGGATTCACCATTGTACATTTTCTCATTTATATTGGTCTATTATAACTCAATTTAACCTTTTCTTTATGAGATATGACGAATTTAGAGCACTAAATTTGGTTTGGCATTGAACAGGGCCTGCATTAAGCACGGAGTACATATTTAATGAATGAATGAATGAACTAACGAACTATACCCTTTATTTTCAGTTCTACCTAACCGGGAAAAGATCTGCTGCTTGTCTTAAGTGATTAGCTAAAAAGAAATGCAGGAATCATATAGTGTTCTAGTACCTAGATTTTTATATTCCAAGCTTTTATTATTATTTTTTCTCTAATTATGGACTAAACTCTTTGTTTTGGTAATGGAATGTCACAGCATGTATAGGTGAGATGTATTTGAGGTTTTTAGGTGAAGAGGAGTATAGCAGCACCAAACTTGTAGAGCTGCCCTTGAAGATAAACTGCTGTTAGACATTTTCAGGTTGTCTTCATGATGGAGAATAGGTAACTGTTTAGAAGAACCTTTATTTAAATCTTATTTCTTACTCCTGTTTTACCCCCGGTATTCAGACTGGCTGAGAGAGAAGAGTGAAATATGTAATGGAAGAAAAAATGGCATAAAATGAGTTTCCTGATTATTCCTTTATTATGTCCTTAGTTGAGAATGTAATGTCTTAGCGACCCAGTATATGCCACAAGGCTGCTTGATTTTTTGTTAATGCCATGAAATATTTTAGGCATAAACAAATAGTAAATAATGTAATAAACATCTATGTGTATACAACTCACTTTAACAAAAAATAATACAGATATTATTGAAGCTTCTTGTGTTCCCTTTCTTCTACCCACAGGGAATCACCATAGAATTTGGTATTTCATATTCATATTTCTGATTTAATATTTTTACTACATACCTATGTATCAATAAGTTTCATATAATGTTTTGATAGTTCTTGATCTTGATATAAATGCTATTCTTCTGTACTCTTTTAAAATTAACTTTTGTGTGTGGGATATTTGCATATGTTGGTACTATAATCCATTCATTTTATACCATTGTATAGCATCCAGTTGTTTAATTATACTACAAGGTTTTACCCATATTGTGGCTGTTGAAATTTTGATAGCTTCCAGTTTTTTGGCTATGACAAAAGATTCTTCAGGGAATAATTTTGAATGCCTTCTTGTGTACATTTAGGAGAATTTCTCTGAACTATTTCCTAGGAGCTGAATTGTCGGGCTGTGGGGTTAAGATATCTTCAATTTCGCATCACATATGATACCAAGTTGTTTTTACCAATGATACCCTCAGCAGCAATGTTTTATATCGTTGCTGACTAGATGATATTTTTAAACTTTTAATTTTTGCCAATGTCCTGAGTGCGAAATGATATCTTATTGTTGTTTTAATTTGTGATTGATTAAACAGTGAGCTTGAGTATCATTACATGTTTATTGGCCATTCAAGTGTCCTCTCCTGAATATATTTTTTATCAATTTTTCTCTTGATTTGTTTTCTTTGTCTCATTGACTTACAATGTTCTTCATGTATTATGGATGCTCTCTCTCTTTTGGTATATTCACTACAAATGTATTCTCCCAATTTATAGCTTGTCTTGTCATTCTATCGATTCATCTATTTATGATGACAAGTTTATAGTTTTAATGGTCAGAATTATCAGTCTTAAAAGTTTTATAGTTTTAAAAACATTTTACTTAAAGAACCTTTTATACTCCAATATTGTAAATATATTTCTCTGTATTTTCTTCTAAGCATTTTATGGTTCTGCCTATCATGTATAAGTATTAATCCATGTTCAAATGATTTGGGGACATACTAGTTGGTGGAGATCTATTTTATTTTATTTTCATAAGGATAACCAATTTTTCCAGCACCACTTATTAAATAGTGTGTCCTTTACTCACTGGTTTTTAATGCCTCCCTTATGATACGTTAAGTGTCGTGTGTGTGAGTCTGCTCTTGTTGGTTTTACTTTCTTCCACGTTCTGCATTCCACCTTTTCTTTACTTCCTATACTTTATATAACCTTCTACCTTTCTTGCTTAAGGCATTTCTTTAGATTTTATGTCAGCTCTGTCACACTCTTATGAAATTCAGTAAATGTTATATGATTTTAATGGTTTGTCATTATTTTTCTACCATGGCATGTACATTTGTTTGTTCATAATATGTCTCTTTGTTGATGGTGTTTTCTAAAAAAAGGATCCATCATTTTCTTTTGCATTCTGTTTATTGACAGAAGTATTAGAGTTGAAACCACAACTGAAAATGTTATAGTCTTAATTTAATTATAAAATGCAAAAGCACACTTTAAAATGCATTTTTTATAAATAAATTAAGAATAACCTGCCTTTTCTAAACCACTAGTATTTTGATTAACACTTCAGAAAACAATTATTTTAGACAATTTGATTTTTTGTGCAAGTAAAGCAGTATTTTGTTTTTCTTGAAATTCATTAACTATTAGTCCTATCATGCTGTTGTTAACTGATCTTCTTCATTTTTTTAGATGGTTGGAATCCATTTTCGTACCCATACAAAAAACTGGATTATGGAAAATGGGAGCTGTATATCCCACCAAAGCAGAATAAATCTGTACTCGTGCCTCATGGATCCAAATTAAAGGTACTTTCCTCCCTCCTATTTTTTCTTGAACTTATCATTTTCTTTTTATCTTGTTTGCCAAGTTTGATTTAAACTATTAGAATGTACAACTGATGCATGATAATTGTGGGAGAAACAGTCTAAATGTACAAATAGAGGGAAATTTAGGAGGAAGTCTTGAGTTGAACTGGGTTAGATTAGAATTGTTTGGCTGGTAAGGAACCAAACTTAGTTGTATTATTATCACAAGTTTGGAAACATTATATAAGAAATGATATATTAAAAGTGATTTTGAGTAATTGTAAAACTTTAGCTTGGGAAACGGAAAGTTTAATGGAAAAATGAAACCTGTCTTCAAATCAGCCAATGTAGAGAGGATTTTTATCTGTAAAGAGGTCGGGTGAAATTGATGTGGGAGGGGATGCTGTGTTGGACGCGCATGCATTTTGGAGACTGCTTCTTCTGCTTCTTCCTCTTTCTGGCCTCTGACATGCTGGTGGTATGGTCTTGTTTATCATATTCTTCTGTGATAAAGCCACCTGAATTAGCCCAGGGGTCTCCCTGTTGGAGGCAGGCTGAGCGTCCTCCACACTCCCTCTGCTTTCGTTGACCATGTGGTTTTGCATTCAAGGTCTGCAGAGCAGTTAGAGTCGGCTGCTCTTGTCTCATCAAGGGATGTCTGAAGGATGGGTTCCAAAGTCTGGATTACAGATTTAAGGCATTTGATTATAAGAGAAGCGATCTAAATCTTTTCACACTTACTTGATTTTACTCCATGGTCATATAATTATATAATATTTCCATGTCCCTTGTGTCTTCCTTCCTTAGACATTTACCATGATAAATCCTATGATTGAGTTGTTTTTATTGGTATTTGTTATTTAACAATATTAACTCAGAGTTACTTAAATATATTAAATCAAAATGCACAGTATGTTTATTTTGTAGGTTGTTAAAAATATTTTATAAATAATGAAATTATAAGTGTATGTAAAATTTAATAAGATATTGCCACACATTATAATAGTAAGCAGAGAAGAATATTGTTTGGGATAAGAAGATGTTTAGCAAGAGATGGCAGTCAAGGTTCCTTTTAATCTATAGTGAAAAAGAGAAAAATACTGACAGTATACAATAAGAGGAATTAAAATTTAATATAAATAATCCCCTTTCCATGTCAGTATAAGCTCCATGAGAGCATGGCCTTTGCTGTGTGTGTGTGTGTTTTTTTTTTCCTACTCCTGTATACTCTCAATTCTTTGAACAGTGCCTGGCAGAGTAGACACTCAAAAGATATTTATTGAGTGTTAAAGCCATTTTGAGACTCAGTCTTTGAAGAAGTAAATCAAATAATTTGATTCTTCGATAGTTTATAAGGGCTAATTTTATAGAAACTGTGGCAAGGCAACTATTATTGTTTTCATTGCTGCTTTAAGTCTTAATGGCTGTTTTTTTAACCTTTGTTTTAGGTTCGGAACTTTTTTTGAGAACTGAACTTACTACTTTTTAAAAAGTGTTGCAGGAATTTTTTCTGCCTGTTTCCTTTTTATTTTTTTGAGATAATTGGCAGATTAACTTTACTGAGTTTTTACTTGTTACAATCAATTAACTAAGAGAACTAATCTAAATAGCAAACAGCTCCTTGGCACCAGCTGCAGCTGTGAAATCTCTGAATTCCTTGATTCTGTGACCCTCAAATGTTCTAGTTGAAGCCGAGGAAAGTTCCCAATCATAGTGGAGCTTTGGTTGCAGGGTTACACTACAGTCTATCACCTCATAAGGTTGATTTTTAGCTGCCGAGTTCTATTTATTCATATTTTCACTAGTTCAACAAATATGTGTTGAGTATCTTCTGTGTACCTGGTACTGTAATATGCATAGGGAATCAGAATTTTAAAAATTACTGCCTTTAAGGAAATAATCTAATAAATGAGTTATTTTTAATTTTTATCTGCTCCAATAAGCCTAAGAGCTAGGACACAGTCCACTCAGTAGAAGCAGCTTCCTGTGGAAGTAACTATCAAGCTAAGGAGCTAGGTGTGTGGAAGAGGCAGGATGGGCTGTTTCAAGTTTTTAAATTTGAAAAACAGATTTTCCTTCTTTTGGTGGAGAATCACTGTAATAAACATAACTAAATAGACATAAAGCTCCTTTCCCTCTCAAAGAGGGCTCTGTATGATTATATTATTAAACACTCATTACCTCATTACTAGACCCAGCATCATCTATTAAAAGATAAGAATAAACAGCTCATCGATTTTTTTGCTTTGTTAGCTCAAGTAGGAGGCATGAAAAATACCAACATAAGCAGCTACCACTTACTGAATGTTTCCCATTGACAGCTAACTAATTTACATATATTTTGTCATTGACTCATTACAAGAACTCGATACAGTAAGTACTTTTATTACTGGCTCACCCTACATTCTGCTTTGCCTGAACAGTACCAGTGTATACCTGTTATCTTAATTATTATTATTTTTGATTAATATAGCTTTATTTTCATTTTTTATTTTGATTTTACTTTAAGTTCTGGGATACACATGCAGAACGTGCAGGTTTGTTACATAGATATACGTGTGCCATGGTGGTTTGCTGTACCTACTGACCCGTTCTCTGAGTTCCCTCCCTTCACCCCCACCCCACAACAGGCCCTGGTGTGTGTTGTTCTCCTCCCCGTGTATTCTCATTGTTCAACTCCCATTTATGAGTGAGAACATGCAGTGTGTGGTTTTCTGTTCCTGTGTTAGTTTGCTGAGAATGATGGCTTCCAGCTTCATCTATGTCCCTGCAAAGGATATGATCTCATTTCTTTTTATGGCTGCATAGTATTCCGTGGTGTGTATGTACCACATTTTCTTTATCCAGTTTATCATTGATGGGCATTAGGGTTGGTTCCATGTCTTTGCCATTGTAAATAGTGTTGCAATAAACATATATGACCATGTGTCTTTAGAGTAGAATGATTTCCCTGATGAACATCAATGCAAAAGTCCTCAATAAAATACGGGCAAACCGAATCCAGCAGCACATCAGAAAAGCTTATCCATCAAGATCAAGTTAGTTTCATCCCCGGGATGCAAGGCTGGTTCAACATATGCAAATCAACTAATGTAATCCATCACATAAACAGAACCAAGGACAAAAACCACATGATGATCTCAGTAGATGCAGAAAAGACTTTTGATAAAATTCAACATCCCTTCATGTTAAAAACTCTCAATAAAATAAGCATTGATAAACCATACCTAGAAATAATAAGAGCTATTTATGACAAACCCACAACTAATATCATATTGAATGGGCAAAAGCTAGAAGCATTCCCTTTGAAAACTGATACAAGACAAGGATTCCCTCTCTTACCACTCCTATTCAACATAGTATTAGAACTTCTGGCCAGGGCAATCAGGCAAGAGAAAGAAATAAAGGGTATTCAAAAAGGAAGAGAGGAAGTCAAATTGTCTCTGTTTGCAGATGACATGTTTCTATATTTACAAAACCCCATCATCTCAGCCCCAAAACTCCTTTAGCTGATAAGCAACTTCAGTGGAGTCTCAGGATACAAAATCAATGTGCGAAAATCACAAGCATTCCTTTACACCAGCAATAGACAAGCAGAGAGCCAAATCATGAATGAACTCCCATTCACAATTGCTACAAAGAGAATAAAATACCTAGAAATACAGTTAACAAGGGATGTGAAGGACCTCTTCAACGAGAGCAACAAACCACTGCTCAAGGAAATAAGAGAATTTTAATAATCATTGTAAGAAATGAGTAGCATTCTGTCTCTAGTTCAGAATAATATTAAATTTTAATTTTCAAATAACAATCAGAAGGTACAAATTTTAGTAGCTGACATCTGTCATCTCTAAACCTATTTTTCAAAATCTAAATACTATAAGTCTTTTGTCACATTTTTATTCTACAATTGAGCTCTCTAAAGGAGCTGGAACAGCTTTCATTTTATTATTGTAGATCATGATATTTTTCATAGATTTAACTGTGCTTTTTAGGCAATTAAAATCATAAGGCTAAAATAAACACATAATTTAGAGTTTTTCCTTAAAATTATTTTCTAGATAAGTTCTGTATTTGAGTAGATCATTTATGTGTCACATTGATATGTTTGTGGCAGTGAAGTTATATCTCCCTCTTTTGGAAAGCCAAGGCATGGCATTTTGGTTGAGTTTAAATTGTTCTTTTCATATTTTCAGTTTACATAGTTTCCTGAACTTACAGATTGAAAAATAATATTTTTCTCTGGAATAGATTTTCCTTTGAAATTTTTTACATTAATAAAAAGTTAAACTTTCATACATATATGCACATGTATATTTCTTTGGATGTGTGGAAAACAACAGGACATTTGACATGTGTTTCAACCCAGGAAAACTTTTTATTTTGATATTTGAAATGCCTTTATTTTTAGTTGAAGAGAGTCAGTTTTACTTTTTCTGTAATTATGCAACATGATTCATAATGTCTGTTTAAAAAATAGGACTTAATTTAAAAAATATGGAAAGAAAAGTAGCCCTTCTTATAATCATTAATGGCCTGGCCCTCCAGGCTACCATCCACTCTTGACAGATTTTATGGGTATTCTTGCTCATCAGTTTTTAGGCATTTGTAAACTGTCCTTGCCCTTGTCCTCTGCCTCCCTGTATTTATATGCTTTTTATTATCATAAAAATATGATTATACTGTGCCTATTAGTCTTCAGTTTGCTGCACCCCTCCTAATATATCATGCAAATCTCAAAAGGTACATTATTATGTTAGTTACTTGAAGAATCAAGTCCATACCCATTACTAATAAGAGTGATGTCTACAAGGTATAAATTAGCATTTATTCTGGCTAAGCATTCGACTATAAAAAGAAATAAAATGTATTAATATACTCATTCTAGATCACTCAAGTCTGTTTCTTATAATAGCTAACATAATTTTATAACAATTGTATGCTTTCTTGAGGTATTAAAATCAGGGCTGCACCTTCATTACCACTGCTTAGAAGAACAAAATGTTCATTTTCTACCCTCCCTGCTTCCTGCATTTGGGTCATAGAAGTGCTCTGAATTTACCCTGTAAATTGTTCAACAATGTTGAGTGTTTTGCGGGATGTGGTTTTTGTTTTTTCTGTGTACTCCTTTGTAACTTTGCCTACAGATTATAAAGAAGTGCTTGAGATTTAAAATTTAAAATTAACCATTAACATATCCCAAGAAGACCACTTATATGTAATGTAGAAAGAAAATGTTTACAAGAGCTAACAGTAGGTTATTTTAGTTTAACAAGTCTCATGTCTTTTTTTTTTTTTTTTTGAGACGGAGTCTCGCTGTGTCCCCCAGGCTGGAGTGCAGTGGCGCAATCTCGGCTCACTGCAAGCTCTGCCTCCCGGGTTCACGCCATTCTCCTGCCTCAGCCTCTCGAGCAGCTGGGACTACAGGCGCCCGCCACCACGCCCGGCTAATTTTTTTTTGTATTTTTAGTAGAGACGGGGTTTCACTGTGTTAGCCAGGATGGTCTCGATCTTCTGAGCTCGTGATCCGCCCGCCTCAGCCTCCCAAAGTGCTGGGATTACAAGCGTGAGCCACCACGCCCGGCCAACAAATCTCATGTCTAACATCAATCTAGTAATTTTCATTTGTTTAATTTTCATAAATTACTTAAAGAACTTATTTAATCAGCATTTCTAAGAGGTTAGAAACACTACTTCAACCCACAGAAATTAAATGGATGTGTAGTATAATATATGTGAATATATGTGTGTATATATAAATGTGTATTACTATTATGAAACACTGTTGCAAACTTCCTTTGAATTAAAAAATTCTCTCAGAATAGGCATTATTTCATATACAAACTAGAATGTAATGAAATAATATAAATTGAAGAATATACAGGTGATGGCTTTTGTTTGTTGCCTTTGTAAATAACAATGCCATTGACATTTGCATACTTATATTAAACAAGGTTTACTCTGTCATTATGCTAAATATAGTTAGTTTGTGATTGCCAATTCTATGTCATTGACTTAAGAAGTCACATTTACAGTCATGTTGAGAGGTTTGAAGTGATAATAATAATGAAATAATAATCCGTAATGTTTTGCACTGGTAATTACAGTGGGTGATTTTTGCAAATATCTGTTCATGTGAATAGAACTATAAGCAATCTCATGAACACATTGTTCTCAGCTGAGCAGCACCTCTTTCCATTTGATCCTGAGACATGAACTCATTTTAAAATTAATAATGAGTTATTATATAAAAATAATTTTAACATCTGAAGAAATTTTGTTGGTTTTCTTTTTCTTTTCAAAATGTTGGGGCGTTTTAGGCCCAGCTGCTCTCAGGTTTGGACATATCTGTACTATTTGTCTTCGTAGTGCTGGCAGGTTTTTTTTTTTTTTTTTTTGACACATTCAAGTTTTCTATTTTTGCCATTTAATTTTCCAGGCTCTGTCATTTCCTTACCATTCTTTAAGCCTTCAATCCAGGTTCTGCCTCCAGCTTTGCTCATGTGAACCTTATTCCACTTCTTCTCTCAAACTTATTTTGATTCCAAACTTTCTGATATTCCAGATGTGTTGTGTTCTTCTGAAATGAGGTCCTAGGTTAAGTCAAATTATGTTCTTCTTATTTTTCATAAAAAGAGTACTGCTTCTCATCTTAGTTGAAATACAGATTGACCCTCCTCTTCATCCTCTCTGCCCCTAGCATTCCTAGGTATTGCCAACTTCTGTGTCTTTTTGCATAACTGTAATAAACTCTGCTTATAAAAAATAAATTTTAAAATTTGAATTTTGAAACCAAATGCACGGAGAAAATATTTTTTTTTCTATGCACAGCCCCTTTTTATGATTATTTCTCATGAAAAAGCTGATTCCGAATGTGCACATAATTATGTGTAGGAAGGTACAAATGGAAATTATTAGTGTCATGAACTAATTAATGATGACATTGAAATGGGAAAGGTTCCCTTGTCCCCTCACAGGGCGCGCGATGGGGGTGTGGCTCACTACTTCAGTGCCCCGCTGCTCAAACCTCTGCGAGAACTCACAGACGGGCAGGCTGTGGGGCTCCAACCCCACGGCAGTGCCTGGGGGTGAATGTTTACAGCTCATGAAGCCCCAGTGGGCGTGTGCTACCGTGTGCTTTTAGTTTGCTGTCTATATGCTGCTTGTGTTAACCAGCTCAATTAGACCCTCTGCCCTGTCACAAGGACAGAGGGTTTTCTGTATCCCGGGTTCTTGCCTTGGTATACTGGAAGAATAGGATCACATCTGGGCTTGGAGAATGAATGCAAGGTTTTATCGAGTGGAAGTAGCTCTCTGCTGATGGCAGAGCTAGTAGGGAGGTGGTTTTCCCCTGGAGTTGGGCCCTTCAGTGGCTCTGGCTCTCCTCAGATTGCCCCGGCCAAACTCTGTCTTGTCCCACCAGTATATGGCCTGCGGGCATGCTGATGTCTGTTAGGGTGCTCTTCAGCTGGCGTGCCCCCTCCGCGTCCTCCTGCCTTCCAGCTGCTTACGCTGATGTGGTCCTCTCGACGTCTGGCCACCTATGTGTCTGCCCACTGGGGTCTTGGGTTTTTATAGGCCCATGATGGTTCCTGGCGGGCCAGGGTGGTATTGGAAAATGCAACATTTCGGCTGGAAGGGCAGGAGTGCTTGTCCTCACCTAGGTCCATGAGAGTGGAGCCCTAGCCAGGGACCCAGCTTTCTCTACCCAGCACTTCCCTTCCCTCTTCTGTATTATTTAAAGGGACCATACTTTTCCCTTCCTAGCACTTCCATATCAGCTCGATAATTATCTTTGAGTTTTCCACTCTTTGTGACTATGTAGATAATGGATTTTATTACATTAAGCATCACTCTGCATTCTCAGGCAAAACCAATTGATCCCTATATGATCTACCTCACGTACTTGCTTCTTCCTTCCGTTTCTTATATGAGTTCATTAACCATGTTGAAATCTAGCTGCAAGAGAGGGAGAAAAATGTGATTTTTAAGCTTTCCATGTTCTCTAATACAAGGAAAGAAAGCAGAAAGGCAGTTTGACTGACTAAAGAGCCATTATCTGCTACAATTTTAAAATAAAAATTATGTATTGAGAAGAAAAGTATCAAGTTTTAGTAATGGCATTTAAAGTAACATTGGTAACTTTCATTTTCTTTTTTCTTTTTTTTTTTTTTTACAAAACTGTTAATGTTTGGCAAAATGATTGATGTGATGCATAGTATGGAAATTGCAAAATTTAAAAAATATTGATGGGTTAGAACAACAGGGTAAGATCAGAGGCTTGAGTAAATTTACCAGACTCTTTTATGACAGCATTCCCAAGTATAGTGGAAACTTTTTCATAAGTAAATGATGTGAGTTTAAGGACAATCATAGGTATGCTCAGGACCACCGATGGATAAATTTCTGAGCCAGCATGGAAGCCTTCAATGATTTGAGTGAGATTAACTTAAGTTTATAAAGATATTTAAATTTTATTATTTGAGAATAATAAAATAGCAGGAAGGGCCGGGTACGGTGGCTCACACCTGTAATCCCAGCACTTTGGGAAGCCGAGGCGGGTGGATCACTTGAGGTGGGGAGTTTGAGATCAGCCTGACCAACATAGAGAAAACAGGTCTCTGTAAAAATACAAAAATTAGCCGGGTGTGGTGGGGAATGCCTGTAATCCCAGCTAGTCGGTAGGTTGAGGCAGGAGAATCGCTTGAACCCGGGAGGCGGAGGTTGCGGTGAGCCGAGATTGTGCCATTGCACTCCAGCCTGGGCAACAAGGGCGAAACTTCGTCTAAAAATAAATAAATAAAATTAAAAAAATGAATAAATTAGTAGGAAGATTAGGCAATGAAGGATTAAATATAATTGTAAATTTTTGTTAAAACATAAATATATTTAAAATGCAAAGTAGAGATTGAGACAAATTTTATTGTGAAATATTTCTGATTTGCAAAAGTATTATTACCAGGGTTTTAGGAAATATATTCCCTGTAACCTGATGTTTTCTTTCCTTTATGATAATTTATTATTATTATTTTTTAAAAATAAAGATCTATCATTTTGTTACTGGAACACTGGTACTTGTAGCTACTCTGTCTTTTACCTTCTCAGGTCTAGCTTTTATCTCCTAAAGCATTAGACTGCAGGTCACAAAATCTGAATCAAGAACAATTGGTAGGATGGTGGCAGTGGTTAGAAATCAGTCTAAGGCATCTTTAAGATATTCCTCAGGAGTTCCTACTGCTTTTCAGGGTTGAAAACTGCTGTCCAAGATACATATAAAAGCCTAATATTTTCTTACTGAATTAAAGGGGAAAATGTTTGTATTCCAGGCACGTCGGAGTATACAAATCAATCTCAACAAGTGTTTAATGCGACAGGTGGTTGTGGGATACATTTTAGAAAAATAATTATAAAAAGCATTCTTTTTCTCTGTTTTATTTAATGCTTGTACAAATGAATCACCATTATCTAAAAAATTATACTGTCCATAAAGTTCTGTTTCCTGATTGATCCCTTAATGTAAACATTGATTCCATAGATATTTTAAATGTATTAGCAAGCTTACTTTTCTTGTATCTGTGTACTGTGAAATATGTTGTATTTTATCATCTTTTTTTCTTTCTTCCTTCAATGTGGGCATAGTATATTTTAAATATGATTATAAAATCTGGAAAATTGAACACTTTCTCACATTTTTTTTAGAAATACTTTTTTTAAAAAATAAAAATGTTTCATGCTTTTTTCTTCTAAATTATGTAGTCATCCAATTTTTTTTCAAGAGAGCTTTTGTTTGGTATTTGATCTTTTATTGGTGTGCCAGAAAAAGGAAGAAAATTACAGTTTGTGACTGTTTAGGTGGGCATTATTTTTGGTTATGTTTAATAAAAGTATTTGCACTTTGACCAAGTATACCTTCAAATAATGATGAATAAAGGTATGCCTACAGGAAATAACCTTTTTCTCCTGATAAAGTACATACTATACAATCTCATTCATGATTTAAACATTTACATTTAAGCTGGGTTCTTTTATTGAATATCACAGTTAAGTTTTTGTTAAATGTCAAAATTAATGTTTAACTTTCTTCAATTTAAAGTGTGTGGTTCAGTGTATGTGTGTGTGTTTTTTTTGCACTTCAGTATGTTCATCTTTATCCATCCTAATATGTCAGTAGCATTACATTTCCCCACGTGACTAGTGCTCAAATTGAAAATTATATGTTCTCATGAACATATAATTTTTTTTAAATGGTCAGCCATAGGTCACTGCGTCTCATCTTACGAATATTCCCCATGCCTCACTCATTGGTCAGGTGAGTAATTCCCAGACCTGTGCTTTATTGACTGAATTATATTCACTAGTTTATTCAGTAGTTTTCTCTACTTTTCCAGAGGAGTTGTCACATTTAGAGATCAAGCTCAAAGTTTGCTGCCTTGTGCCTTGGCTTTATCTACACAAGATGGGGGCATTTATGTTTAAATATTTAGATATATCTGAACAAGGAAGGATGAAAGTAGCAAGCTTCATTGTGTAGAATCCTATTATTTACCACTGTTTCTTCCCATCATCACTGTTTCCACCTCTAGTGCCTGAGTCCATTATCCAAAGGTCACTCCAATTCTTGACCATCTTTTATAACCTACTGGAATGCTGTTAAAAAAATCAATTGACAAGAAATTATCCAAATGCATATCTAGTGCTACTTCTTACTGATAGTCATTATCTCTTTCCCATAATACAAACTATTTCATCGCTTTCTTATTTCTTGATGGTTGTATTTACTTTCATCATTGTACATACATATCTATTTCCAGTTCTTTTTACTCTAAAATCACCTATACCTGGCAAAATACAGATTTTTTGTAGAAGAAAGGAGAGAAAAGAATGATAGTGTTCCAACCTGTGAGACCTTAATTTGTAAAGAATATTTAAAGATTCAAGAGGAATTCATCTCATCATTAACTGTTTATTTAATAGTCATTAACTATATTCTTGGATGTAATAGTCTTAATGTTTATTGAATATGTAATTGTATGTTTTCTTAAAAGATCCTATAATTTTTAGAATTATGTATTCTGTGTGTAGTCTTCGGAATTTCTCTAGATTTCTTTTAGGGGTTGAGTTATTTCTTTTTTTTCCCTCCATGCTTTATATTTTACTTCATTGCAATGGCACTTAGAATGATTGCTTAGGGGCCGGGTGCGGTGGCTCATACCTGTCATCACAGCACTTTGGGAGGCCGAGGTGGGCGGATAACTAGCTCAGGAGTTTGAGATCAACCTGGCCAATATGGTGAAACCCCATCTCTACTAAAAATACAAAAAAAAAAAAAAAAAAATTAGCCGGGCGTGGTGGCATGCACCTGTAGTCCCAGCTACTTGGGAGGCTGAGACAGAAGAATCCCTTGAACCTGGGAGGTGGAGGTTGCAGTGAGGCGAGATCACGCCACTGCACTCCAGCCTGGGTGACAGACTGAGACTGTCTAAAAAAAAATAAAAAAAAAATAAAAAAAGAATGATTGCTTAGGAATCATATTTTTTTCTTCAAATGATTGAATTTATTACCACATAGACTTTTGTAATTATACTTAATAAAATATTTTTAAAAGAACTTCAACTCATCCTATGATAGTGCTTCCCCTATCCTATCACTTCTGAAAATACTTCTTAGATTTTTTTTTATTGGCTTTATACCAGATTATAACTCTGTTTACTTAATAGAATTCTAACCTTCACTGCACATGGATGAGTCTCTTTGAAGCACACTCTTTCAGTAATGAAAACTCACTGATTTTTTCCCCTTTTCATAGCCTTTTTCTTTTATTACGATATTGATCTTTCAATATCTTGGATGTTTAAATCCCATATTTTTGTATCATGTGTAATTCATTTGTTTTCTAGTCTAAGACACCTAATCAATCTTTACATGATTACAACATCTCAGCATTGTTCCTTTTCTTTTCACTTAGGAGTGTTTATTCTCACTTGTTCAGGGATATCGTTTTCAATGCCTGCTTCGTAAATCTCAAATAATCCCTTTGGACTTTGTCTTTTTGTAGTGACCTCACTTTGTAAGGTTTTTGTTCAGGTAATGTACTTGAAATGAAGCAAACACTTTATCAGTCCTACTTAGTTGTTTCTTTATTTCTTTAAAGATTTGCCTCGGTAGAAAAGCAGAGAAAGAAAACCATATTACAATTGTAATACTCCTTAACTAGGCTAGAAGATAGGGGAACTAGGGTATAAACCTTGGGGGATAATACTCCTTTTTATAGGTGCAGAAGCTTCTGTCTCTCTAAATCATTCTAAGTCAGGACCTGGTTTCAGAAGTGACTACTGACCTTTATTTACTTTCACAATATTCTGCAGTTTCTTCTTTCTCATGTGTAAGTATTACAGAAATGAGATTGTAATATATTTATAATTCTCTAATTGGTGTTGTCAGGGACAAAGAAGCTATGTGTATTATACCTCAAAAATAGTCTTTTTTTTTGTTCTATACATTGGTGTCTGTTATCCCAAAGTTTTGTATAAACTGGTCTGACACTCATTTGTATCACATTACAGATTTATTTTTCATAGCTAATATACTCAGTCTTTTCCTTTAATGAAGTTTTAAAATTATGATTTGTTAGTATTTATTTTTGTTAGAGAAACCCTTTGTCCTATTCAAGCTGTTGCTATGGATTCAACCTTGGAAAGGTTTCTTGTTTTTTATTAAAGAAAAAAAATACATTATGATGGCATGTTTTAAAATAAGAAATCTAAAATAATGGTATCTAGTGAAATTTGATCTATAGGTTATTGCTTTAGAAGTTTAACTAATTTCTATCCTTTTTTAGTTAAGCTACTAGCCAGGATATCTTCTTTTCTCCTGTGTAGTGTCCAGTCTTGCATAATATAAGAGCTCAGGGGCAAAATCTAATCATTTAATCTCTCTCTATCCACCTCTCTCAATTCCTGAACATTGTAGATGTAAAGAGCCTCACAAGGATGATTTTATATGCATATGTCTTATATAAGTTTATTTGATTAATTGAAAACTATGAACTAAATTATGAGGCAAAGAAAGAGATTTCTAAAATATATGAACTTTATTATCCAGATAAAATTAACAGAAAATTAAAATAATTTCAAGAAAACAGTTATGTTTATTTGGTACCCATAGCAGGCTTAATTAAATAATATATAATGTCATTTGTAGCCTAAATATTACCCTAATTTATATAATCTTACCGATTAACTATGTACAGTTTTAGAAAAATTCACCCAGGAAGTGGTCTTTTATATATTAAGGTCTGTTTAATTTTAGTGATCTCTTTATTTTAATTCCCCATTAATAGAAATATAAACTCAAAGTTCACAATGAACTAGCAGTTACGATGAAGAGTGTTTCTGATTTTCATCTTCCTAGTTAGGAAATTCAGAATGCAATTTTTTCAATAGATATTTTTTTTTTGTTCACTGATTATCTGTTTACTTAAATAGTTTCATCTCTGTTTAATGAAGCAAATATGTCAGGTATTGGGTAGGAAAAAATATTCCCTTTGCTTTTCCATATGGTAAATTTAGAGGCTTCATTTACATCACGTATGCAGTGATTGTTTTTGTCTAATCTTTGAAAATACTTACGTGGGAAGAAGGCTAGGTATAAAAACTGTGTATTACAAATTTATTGTTTTTTTTTGTTTTGTTTTTTTTTTTTTTGAGACGGCTGGAGTGCAGTGGCGTGGTCTCGGCTCACTGCAACCTCTGCCTGAAAGGTTCAAGCAATTCTCCTGTTTCAGCCTCCCGAGTAGCTGGAACTACAGGCACCTGCTACCACGCCTGGCTAATTTTTGTATTTTTAGTAGAGACGGCGTTTCTCCATATGGATCAGGCTGGTCTGGAACTTCTGACCTCAGGTGATCCACCTGCCTTGACCTCCCAAATTGCTTTGATTACAAGCGTGAGCCACACACCCGGGCACAAATTCACATTTTTAAAGTCCCTTCTCTCAAGTCTGGAACTCAGCAATGTTTATTTTGAAGGAGTTTGCTTTACCTGGGAATCGTCAAGGAGACTTACCTTGTTTAGTGAAGTTCACTGTAACGTATTAGTACATATTTGTCTACTTTTTGGGAGTAAGAACACAAGACAAATGTATTATTTAGACTACTCATGAAGATAACTTATATCTTTAAACTCTTTCCAGTACTGACAAATTTCAACTAAGTTTATTTCCATTTTATTCATAGAAAAATTATTGTTTCCAAATTTTCCCTTATTGGCTGTATTAGTTTCCTAAGGCTACTGTGTAAATATGTTGGCTTTAAATAATGTAAATGTATTCTCTCATAGCTTTGAAGTGCAGAAGTTAAAAATCAGTATCACCAGGCTGAAATCAAGTTGTTGTCAGGGCCATAGTCCCTCTGGAGGTTCTAGGGGAGAATGTGTTCCATGACATTTTCAGCTTCTGGAAGTGGCTGGCATTCCTTCGCTAGTATCCTCGTCACTCCACTCTCTCCCTCCTGGGTCACAGTGTCTTCTCCTCTTCTATATGTAAAATCTCCCTCTGTGATTGCCCCCCTGCAGAATCTGGAAATGGAGTAAGAATCTCTCCATTTCCAGATTTGTACTTTAATCACATCTGCAAAGACCTTCTTTTGTCACAGAAGGTATCATTCACAGATTCTTGGCGTAGGGTGTGGATATCTTTTGGGAGGCCATTTTCAGCCTCACACAATGGCAAAGAGATTCTTGCCCACATACTCTTCACATAAGCTTCATTAATGTTAAATTGGCTCAGCAGAAATGACAAGCAGAGCTGTGGATAGAATTTATACAAATAGGTCCTGTTTTAAACAAAACAAAACAAAAACAAGGATAAGTAGTGAAAGATTAGTTTGGTTGAAATGAAATTTATGAGCTTTACTTTAAATTGTATTAAGTTATTTTAAAGTTTTAGCGATTATAAATTCTATCTATGCATTTTAAAATAATGTTTACACTAGATATTTGTGACTATTAAAAACACACATTTGGCTGGGCGTGGTGGCTCAGCCCTGTAATCCCAGCACTTTGGGAGACCGAGGCATGTGGATCACCTGAGGTCAGGAGTTCGAGAGCAGCCTGGCCGACATGGTGAAACCCTGCCTCTACTAAAAAAAATACAGAAAGTATCTGGGCGTGGTGGCAGGTGCCTGTAATCCCAGCTACTCAGGAGGCTGAGGCAGGAGAATTGCTTGAACCTGGGAGGTGGAGGTTGCAGTGAGTGGAGGTGGCACCATTGCATTCTAGCCTGGGCGACAAGAGTAAAACTCCATAACAACAACAACAACAACAACAATAACAAAAACACACATTTATTTCTTCGGGATTCAGGTCATTGGTAGAATTGTTAGCTTTTCATCTGGAATATCACTTATTTTTCTACTTAATTACAAATTTTTGATTACTTTTTTCTTTTTTATGTTCCTTCCACCCTCTTCTACAAATTACTTAAAAATTAATTATAGGCCGGGTGCAGTGGCTCATGCCTGTAATCCCAGTACTTTTGGAGGCTGAAGTGGGCAGATCACCTGAGGTCAGTTGTTCAAGATAAGCCTGGCCAACATGGTGAAACCCTTTCTCTACTAAAAATAACAATTAGCCAGACCTGTCTGTGTGTCTCTGTGTGTGTGTTTCAGTCTTATTGGAAATACACATATACATATATATGCACACAGAATACTGATATTCAGCATTGTACACTGGTATGGCTATACTTATTATTAAAATAAAAATATTTTAATATTTGATAAATAGGTACTGCTCAGGGACTTGTGAGTACAACTCCTACCACCCTCATGTTTCTTCCAGAACTTCCAGAACTCGGGACAACTCAGCTATTAAAGGATTAACAGCTGGCAAATACTCTGTGGCCATCATCTCATCTGATTGGTAGAAACAAAAAATATACATGTTGTTAAAATATGTTGGGTTTATGTGTACATATATCAAAACATTGTTTTACACCTTGAATATATACAATTTTTGTTAATTATAACTCAATAAAGCTGAAATTTTAAAAGTGAAATAAAAAAGAAGTGGAAGTAGTATTTTTCTATAAATTAGAAATCACTTGTTTGATAATTCACTTTGACCTGTAGCCTATCAAATAGTTATCTTGATCAATATGTTTTTTTTCACTCTGCTTTAAGCAAAAATTTTTTAAAGAAAAGCTTCTCCTCACAACATTAGGAGATATTTGTAGTATAATTGGGGCAATTTGAATTATATGATTCAATAACTGTGCGTTTTCTGTTAGCCTGCTACACTTTCCTTCATGAAGCCTAGAGCTACATTCATTACCATCTTTCAAAATATGCTAACAGTTACTTCTAACCAGCTGAACACATCCGATTTTTTATATAAAACTGTTGGCCACCTAAGGAACATATTATCTCAGTAATTTTCCAGTACATGGAAAATTTGTGTTTTGCAAGAAGCACTTTAAAATATATTCCAAGCATGAATGAACACACACACACACACACACTTTTTTGTCTTCAACATTTACTGTTTTTTATATTGTGTATTTGAGTTTTAAATGACATGTTCTAAATAAAATTTGACTTTAAACCATTCACTAAGTTAATTTGACTTTTACACAGTTAGAAGTTTCTTTTATTAAATTATTTATGTAATCTAATAATGTCTTTTGATGATAACCTCCTATAAGTCAAATAAATAATTTGGCTCATTAAAAAGGATTATTATGGTATTATTTGGTATTATTATGGTATTATTTTCATTATATTTCTTTCAAGTAATTTGATATATTTTGTTAAGTTGTATTTCTTAATGTGTTAATATACTTAAGGTACGCAAGATGTACACCTTAAGTAGCACACTCTGCAGATGTATGTGTGATTAGATGATTCATATATTTGTAATCCTTACTAAACCGCTTATATTTTTGGAATCTAGAATCTGTACAAGTAAATGAAGTGATAATATCAAAACGTATAGCTAAAAAATAAAAACTACTAACAATCCCCTTACCCATAGGTAACCATATTGATATTTTTATATCTTTTAAAATACTTTAGGCTGTGAGTTTTTGTGCATTTACATTAGAAAGATACAATATATTCTTTCATATAACTTAGAAGACTTTTTCTGCAACCTTTAATATGCTTAAATAGTATATTTTTTAACAACTATACATTATTCAGTCACTCTGTGTTTGCTAATAGAAGTAGCACCAAGACTGATAGACAAGGCTATTGTTTTTTGAGCACATATCTTGATTGTTTCCATGAGGCAAGCTTTTATAATTAGTATTGCTGATTCATTGAAGTTACTTTTTTCTTTTAGCTTTATTTTTTTTTTGTAGACAGGGTCTTTCTCTGTTGTCCAGGCTGGAGTGCAGTGTCATGATCATAGCTCACTGTACCCTTGAACTCTTTGGCTCAAGCTGTCCTCTTGCCTCACCCTCCTAATTAACGAGGACTGTATGCATGCATCATCATGCCGTTTAATTTAGCTTAATTTTATTTTATTTTTCATTAATCTTTTGTAGAGACCAGGTCTCCTTATGTTGCCCAGGCTGGTCTCAAATTCCTGACCTCAAGTGATCCTCCCATCTCAGCCTCCCAAAGTGCTGAGATTGTAGGTGTGAGCCACTGTGCCTGACCTGGAATTAATTTTTCTGAATTTTTGATGCAGATTGTCAAATTGCTATTCAGAAATTTTATACTGCTTTATACTCACACTAGCAGTGTATCAGACCTCCCATTTGACAGTATCAAGTGAACTCTTTTAAACATTAGCTACCAGACTTATTGTTGAAAGATCAATCAAGCCAGTTCTTTCTTTCAGTTTGCTCCATAGCATGCTGACATTTTGAGGTTGTGAGTTAAATGACATAAAGTTTTCTCTAAAAATTTTTCCGACTGGAATTTGAACTCATTGGAGCATAACACAAATGCAGGATGTACCCTCCCCCTCACCAAAAGAGTTTTGTGAGCAAAGTTTAGTCCGTAAAGGCTATAGTCTTTACTCTTTGCATTGTCTCTCAAATTAAATTTATTTAGATTTATTATGATACTCTTATTTGGTTATGAAGATTACAAGAATTTAGAAACAGAAAGTGAAAAGCAAGGTGAGACAGCTACTATAGACAAATGTACTAGTAAGTAAAACCTAAGTTACTATAACAAAAATACTTGCAAAATCCAGGGGCCTAAAGAGTAGAGATATTTATTATGTAACAATCACAGGTCAGTGTTCCGGATTTGGTAGAAAGCTTTGCTCTCCTTAACAGTTGGTTGCAATTCCATGAATAAGAGAGAAGGAGAAAATGGAGAAATTAAAATACTCCACTCAACAAGCAACCCTAGTAGAAATGACTGTTAGAGTAGCAGAAGACAGAACCTTTGGAAACAAAATATTGAAGTTATTCAGTGAATGAGCAAATACTCCTTTGTCAAGTCTGTGATTTGATTTTACCCTACCTACAAACTTAGAAGTTAACCTGTTACCATATTGTCGATTCTGGCCCAGGACTCCTAGAACAGAGAACAATTATTTTATTACTCATGGCACAGTAGGTATCATATTTTCATTGGCTCCCCTTGTCCTCCAAGCCCCATAGGGGTGACACTATATGACCCAGATGGCTGCTGCTCACACGTTGGGTTCACATCATAGCTGGATAATATTGAGCCTGGAGAATCCCTTCTTTTGTAGCAGCTCTGTGTCTTCAAGGGCATCATTATGTTATCCTTGAAGGCTGCTTGCTAGAAGGACAGCCCTAAGAAATGGCTCCCATTAACAATGGTCAGGGCCTTGCCTTCTTGGCATACCCAGCAAAAGATATAGGAGCATCAGAGAACCATGCAGGTATTGTTCCTTTCAACATTCAACACCCATCACTCAGTAGCCTCTGGAGACATTTGTGTGTACAGCAAGATGAATGGATTAGTGTTCCAAAGGATGTGGGGGTTAAATTCAGCATGAAGTAGATTCTTCATGTCTTAAAATTGCAAGTATTTTCTCTGCCAACAGACACCTTTAGAAATTATTATTAGTTTATGATGGGCCTTTGGAGGTATTATAGAGCCGTTTACAAAACAGAGAAAGCATAGGTGGATAGATTAGCCAAAGTGGTAGTCACGGAAAACTGGTTTATAGTATTTTGTTTCCTCATACCTTGTTCTGGGTTGATGAGTGAGCAAAAGGCCCTTTCTTAAACATATTACTGTAGCATATTATGCTACAAATTCATGTAGCTTAAGGGAGTTTTTTTTTTAAGCTTAAAATAGTTGAAATAGATTGGTCTTATTGATTCATGTTTTGTGATAATGGCTTGAATAATAGCAACACCTGGCGATGATTAGCTTTAATAGGTGGGAGGCATAATGAAGGAGAAATAATTGTATTCATGTAACTTAGACATTCCTTTCACCACTTACTTGGCCTCTCCGTCATAAACCATAATTTATTATTTTTTGGCATCTGAAGGAAGTGCTGTGGAAGCCTGTTCAGAGAAGAGAAGTGAGTATTAGAAGCTCTGCGTTGAGCTTTTGGCTCTGCCGCTTGGTTATTTTGGGACTTCTGGCAACTTATGTAATCTCACTTAATATTTAGGTCACAAAGATTTTCTGGAATCAAGTGAGATAAGAATGTAAAAGTCTTTATAAACTATAAGGCATTATACAAATATTTAATTACTAAGAATTGTGAGTACTTAACCTTTCTCTATTAGAGGAGACTGAAGAATACGTTCTCCTCAATGATGAGGACATAATATAGCTTTTAATCTGGATTTTTAAAATTGTATTCTACCTCCTTTTAGAAAGTTTAGTAAAAAAGGCAACTTTGTGTAAAAGCTACAATTTCAGCCTGCTGCATTGGCTCACGCCTGTAATCTCAGCACTCTGGGAGGCTGAGACAGGAGGATCACTTGAGCCCAGGAGCTCAAGACTAGCCTGGGCAACACAGAGAAACCCCATTTCTACAAAAAAACCCCAGACCCCCCCAAAATTAGCTGAGCATGGTGGTACATGCCTGTAGTCCCAGCTCCTCGAAAGGCTGAATTGGGAGGATCACCTGAGCCTGTGAGGTTGAGGCTGCAGTGAGCTGCGATCGCACCACTGTGCTCCACCTGGGTGACAGAGTGAGTCCCTGTCTCAAAAAAATAAAATAAATAAAAAGCTATCATTTCAATCATTTGGAAGTTCCATTTATATGGCTGGATAAATTCAAAATCATTTATTCAGTTCTAAGTCTTAATGGTAGATTCAGTTAAAAAAATAAATTTGTTATTTTTTATTATCAAAAATAGTCATATTGCTGGCAAATATGTGAACGGATGATTAAAGGAGATAATGTTTGGTTTTATATGGTAAAGAATACAACAAATAGGAGGTAAAAGAAGTTGAGAAGGTGTGGAAAATGTATGTGTCTGTGCGTGCACATTGTGTTAATCAAACCTGTTTTTCTTCTTTAGCTTCCTGAACATGTTTTCATTAGTTGCTATAGAAAGCAAATGAAAGAGATGGTTATATAACTCACTAATTGCTTTTTTTAATGGAGTAGGATGATTTTCTCCCATTGATTGATTAATTGACAGAAGCTTCCAAATAATATTCTTGTCTTTTTAGTATCTACTGTTCGTTTAAGTAAGCACTCTTATGGCTGGTTTGCAGTGGTGGAAATTGCCAGAAAGCCATAAAATGTTCAAGCTGGAAGTTACTTTAAGGATGATATAGTAACAGCAGATGAGAAAACCAACATTGATAGAATTATGTTCCTGAAGGTCACACATCTGTATGGTGGTCTAGATTCTTAAGATCAGTCCTCCTTTCCTACTTGTAGCAGTGCTCCTAAACCATTATGTATTATCAGAGTTCTGGATGTATTTTAAAGCAATAACATGTCATTCTCTTTTTAGGTAGTTATTACTAGTAAAAGCGGAGAGATCTTGTATCGTATTTCACCGTGGGCAAAGTATGTGGTTCGTGAAGGTGATAATGTGAATTATGATTGGATACACTGGGATCCAGAACACTCATATGAGGTGAGAACAACAAATCTTTAAATAAATTATTGTTCCAATATTTCTAGGAAAGTTAATTTTTACTTTTATAACTTTTATAGTAATGTTCAATGCTTATCTTCACTGACAGTTGCGTATTTTACATCATAGTATTCCTTTTATACTGTATGAGTATCATAGTCTGTCTTCTGTAGCCAGTAACATATAGAAGTTAGTTTTTGTGTTGTCTATGTTTTTGAGGTTAAAGAAAACAGAATACTAAATTGCTATATACTAATCTATAAGGGATACTGGTTTTTTTTTTAAACTACAATTTCTGATTGATCAGAGACTCTTTAGTGCAGTATTTCTCAGGGTTTGAATTAGGATCAATGTCCTTAGAAACACGGAATGGGGAAGACCATCTCATGAATGTATTAACTAGGGTAATTTTTACCGCCATATTAGTGACAAGTGTTCTGTGATTGTTTGAACTCACTTTCTGTCTTTTAAATCATTGGAGTTTGTTGATATATACTTTGCATTAGATAATTACATATGTATTTCATGGCTCTTACATTTTCTCTAAGGCCTAAGTTAAAAAAAAATTTACTCAATGATAAGGCATAAGCTATTACATGATTTATCTTTTAAAATAGGTCCACTAGCAGGACCATAAGGACTTTTTCCTGAGAGAAAATTTAGTGAGTGTAGCTGGTGCCTTTTATATGTGAGAATAGTTCCAAGTGTTTGAGTATATTCACCACTTTTTAAAAATATACTTGATCAGGTAGTGTCATACCAGAATTCCTGGCTTAACTCTATACATAATTTTATATTCTGTAGTTTAAGCATTCCAGACCAAAGAAGCCACGGAGTCTAAGAATTTATGAATCTCATGTGGGAATTTCTTCCCATGAAGGAAAAGTAGCTTCTTATAAACATTTTACATGCAATGTACTACCAAGAATCAAAGGCCTTGGTAAGTAATAACTGTGATTTTTATTCAGATAAAATTTTAATGAGTCTGTTCTCTTATTAGAAAAGCTAATTACAAGTGTCTCTTTTTTGTGTTAGGAGATTAAATATGTAATAGAAAGGCATTTTATTTTAGGCTTCTCAAATTGCCCTGTAATAGTGATAGCATAGAAAGGAGAAATGGAATAAGATAGAGCATAAGAATTAAAGATATTATTCCAATTTAAATTTTAAGTAATGTGAACTGATGACTTCCAAAATTATAGATAAATATGTAAGCATAATTACTTTTTTACTGGAGGAAACCTTTATCAATTTAAGTGATTATTGACTATAGCCTGTTCATTTTAGTCTGTTAAGGAAAAAAATATTTTATCTGTAATGTGACCGGAACTCATTTTGTATCAGTTATTTTATATAGCCCCTGCCTGGATGATTTATTTAACAAACATTTATAGAATATCTATGTGAGACACATTTTGCTAGATGTTCATGTATTGAACTGTAATGGCACAGATCCTGTCTTCATAACAAACAGGAGAGTAAAGAATATATTGCTGAATTATTGATTCAGTGTGCTTTAAATCTGTTGTTTTTATAGGTAATGATATTTAAAATAATACAACAGTATATTTAACACCTGCTTCAATGACTAGGCAGGAGGATAAAGCACATGTAATTATGCTGCTTCTGCTAGAGAGTCCAAATTTTGGCTAGAAGAAAGGTTTGTAAGGCATGGTTAAAGTTTTCAGTTATGTATGGATTATCTGTGATGGTAAAGTCAGGTTCCAGAAACCAAAATTAATTAAATGTATAGAGTATTTAGTATTAATTATAATTAATAGATATTATGCTAAATTATTATATTTGAGATATTCTTTCATATTATGGAGTAATAAATTGCTTATGACCCAGTTCTTGCAGAACGTTCAGCAGCACAAGGATTCTCTTACTCATCTTTGTGTTTGAATTGTCTAGCCTAGTACCTGGAATGAAAGTGAATCCAGGAATGATTAATGCCATAAAAATTAAGAATAAAACTATAAATTTGTGCTTGATACAAGGTATCAGCCAAGAAGAATGAAACTAATATCTTTGTTTATAAGTGTATTTACAAATATAGTTGTATAGTTACATGAACTGCCATTAACAATGAGCTTATATAAACCTTAAGAAAATTATAAAGCTTATATGAATTGGACTTTGAGAGCAGAATAAGAATATTTACTATGTATGTTACAGAACTGTAACTTCCAAAGTAATGAAATCATATTCGAACATTTTACCAAATTATACTTCAAGAAGAAAAACCTGTTTTTCTTAGCTTTTTTAAGACCAATACTTTTTCTTCTGATCATTTGCTTATATTAAAAATATATTAGAATTTTTTTAATGTTACGGATTTTTAAAACACAATATCTACTTTTTTGAGTCACTTTATTTACTGTTAGAGCAAAACATATTCAGATGGAGAAAGGAAGGTGACGTGTGTTTGTATATGCACATACATGCATATATGCAACTTGGAAATAATTTTTTAGGTGCAAATTATGTAGTGGAAAGTAGAAGCATTAATGCTGACTGTATAAAAGCTACCTTGCAGGCTGGGCGCGGTGGCTCACGCCTGTAATCCCAGCACTTTGGGAGGCTGAGGTGGGTGGATCACCTGAGGTCAGGAGTTCGAGACCAGCCTGGCCAGCATGGTGAAACCCCATCTCTACCAAAAATACAAAAAAATAGCCAGGGATGGTGGCACGCACCTGTAGTTCCAGCTACTTGGGAGGCTGAGGCATGAGAATTGCTTGAACCTGGGAGGTGGAGGTTGCAGTGAGCTGAGATCAAGCCACTGCACTGCAGCCTGGGCAACAGAGCGAGACTCCATCTCAAAAAAAAAAAAAAAAAAGCTACCTTATGGAAAATAAGGGTTTGGTGCTATTTCTTATGCTATATGGAAAAAAGGATTGAAATATATAGAAATACATAGAGTCAAAATAAAAAGCGTATGTCATGCAATTGGTTATTTTTATTTAGCTTTCATAATCTTCAATATGAATATTGCAAGTGTAACTGATGTTTAGCATATGGAGATTGCCGTTTTTAATATGCTAAAACCAAATTAAGTAAATTTGCATATTATTTATTGCTTGTTAAAATGAAGCTATATCAAATAGCTAGTCAGAATACAGCTCTAAGAGACTATCCAATGTTGTTAGAAGGTCAAACAAAAAAATGTTAAAGTAGTAGAACTTTTCAAGACGACCAAAGCTTCTAGATTGTTTGTAAATTTTAATGTATTTGGAATAAGGATGCTTTTTTTCCCCATTACTTTTTTTTTAAATGTGGCTTTTAATTTAGATTTGACCATTGCCTTATATAGGATACAACTGCATTCAGTTGATGGCAATCATGGAGCATGCTTACTATGCCAGCTTTGGTTACCAAATCACAAGCTTCTTTGCAGCTTCCAGGTAAAATCAGAGACTCATTGTGTTCATTTTTATTTTGAGCCAATAATTTAAAGAAACAAAATGAAATTGTTCATTTTTTATAACATCGTGTAACCTTTTAGGGTTAACAGAGTTAATAGAAGCTGAACATTTTCTTTTACTAAGGTCATAGACTCTCTTCTCCTCCAGCCTTAGAAATTGTCCTTGATTTTATGTTACTCCTCGTGGGATGATTTGTGATATAGAATGTCCAGTTACCTGCTGAAATTGTCACTCATTTGGAGCCCACGTTTTAGTCAGAAAATCTTTTCCTATGAAAGCCATTATTGTGAGAGAGCACATCGTTTTCTGGAAAGAGATTGACTCATCTAGGAAGGTCACCGAAGAGTCCCTTGGTACAACAATTACTACTCACAGAAGGGCTGCCCTTCCCTCCAGACTGAAATGGATGGAATAATTCTCTCTGGACAGAAAAGACACCAAGGGATTCTATGCAATTAAAGAGGTGCTGACCTAAAAGACCACAGACCGAAGAAGTCCAACACTCAGTGTCATGGAGTTTATGATGTATGGCATATAGACATTGCTCCCATCATCATTCATACAGATTATTATTTTTAACTGTAATAAAAGCTAAAATGAAAATGACAGGGAACTATAATCAGAAGTCTGATCAGTTTAGAATAGATCAGAACAAATACTGCAAGTGAGATCTAAAACACGACTAAGAGTTAACTGGGGAAAGCGGTGAAGTGGGCGTAAATAGGTGACATTCCAGACAGAAAAAAGATACTGGTTCATTTACCTGTTTCTCTTTATATTAGTTCTCCCTCAATAAGTTATCTATAATACTGTCTCCAAATCCTCCACTCTGGTTCTTTCCTGAGCCCACTCCAAGTATGCGGTCTGCCTCTTTACTGAAGTTGCTTTTGTCAAGGGTATTAGTGACCTTCACATTGTTGAGGACAATGAACAATTCTTAGCTTACTTAAGCTGTCAGCACCCCTTGGTACAGCTGGTTACTGTCACCTTCTTGAAACCTTTTTCTTTCCCTGGCTTCCAGAATATTTTAACCTCCTCTTGTTGCTTTTCCCACCTCACTTGTTGCTTATTATTAATTTCCTTTGCTCTTTCCTCATCATCTTTACTACCACTAAATATTGGACGTCCCAATAATCAGAACTTAGTTCCATTCTCTTCTTCATCTGTATGAAATATTCGGGAGGATCTCATCAAGTCTCATCCAGTTTTGTAGCTTAAATATATGCTATATGTTAACTCCCAAACTTAAGTCTCTCTGACCTATCTTATGAACTTCAGAAAGTATATATTTGATGTTGGAGTATCTAATACATATATCAAACTTCATGTGTCCAAAATTAAATTTCTGATCTTAACTTCAAACTTCCTCCCCCTGCCATCTTCTCTAATTCAGTAAATGACATTTTCATCTTCTAGTTGTTCAAGCCAAAAATCTTGGCATTATACTGGACTTGTCCCTTTCTGTTCCTCCCTACACGCTAGCTATTAAAAAATCTAGCCATCTGTAACTTCAAAATATATCCCAAATCTGGCTGCTTCAACTGCCCCCACTGCCACCACCCATGTCCAACTTGCAATTATCTTTTACCTGGGTTATTTCAATAGCTCTTTAACTGGTCACTCTGTTTTCTCATGCTGTCTTTCCCCTTCTCTTACCTTTGTTCTACCAATTAATGGTCAATTTTTCTGCACAGTGGCCAGAGTAATCATTTAAAAATTAAAGTCAGATCATGTCGCTCTTTTGCCCAGAACCGTAATGAATCCCTGTCTCCTTCAGAATAAAAGCAAAAGGCCTCACACTGGTTCCCAAGGCCTCACTTGATGTGCTTCTTGCCTGACTCTTAGAGCTCACCTCTTTTCTTTCTTGACCATTCCAGTTAGAGTAGCCTGTTTGGTTTTCTTCAAATGCTCTTAGCTCAACCCTGCCCCAGTCCCCTGCACCTGCTGTTCCTTTCTGTCTGAATGCTCTTACCCTTAGATATTATTATGCCTTGCTTCTTACTTTTTTTCTTGCTCAAATGTTGCCTTTTCCATGAAACTTTAACTGATGACCCTATTTAAAATAGCAAACCTTCCCTCCCCACCAGTGGCTTTTCTTTGTTTTCTTTAGGACACTTATTATTATCGACATTCTATGTATTTTGCTTGTTTGTTGTCTCCCAATGGGAATGTAAATTCCATATGATCAGTGGTGTTTATTTTTTTCGCTGGTGTATCTCCAGAACATAGAAAATGTCATGGTACGTGGTAGATGACTTTAGTAAGTGGCAAACAAATAAAGGAATGAATGAAGGAATGAGTGAATGGCTGAATGAAAAAAAAAACTTTAAGGCTGTTTATTATTGAACATGTTCAATGAGTATAAAAATGGATAGGTGGCTGGAATAAAAAGAGGGTGTGGGAGAGTGTCATAAGATAATTAGCATTATTGGAAAGAGCCAGTAGATGGTGCAGTAGGCCACGATCAGGACAATGGTCTTCACCCTGGGATGAATGGGAGCACAAGTATGATTTTAAGTAGGTAACATGATCTTATTTCCAGTTTAAAAAGACAGCTCTTGCTGCTCAGTGGAGTTGGCTATTGGGAGACTTGCTGTATACTTAGCACTGTACCATATCATGAGGAGCCTGATAGTAACAGCCGCTGCCCTCAAGGAGCATATAGTCGAGTGAGGAAGAGAGACAGTAAACAATTGAAGGCAAAGGTGACTATTTAAAGGGCAAAGTTGATGCTGTGGATGACTATAATGTCAAAATTTTACACAGGTTAAGAAAGGCATTCTTCTGTGAGTAATTTTTGTTACCTATTTCATTCAGACTAGGGGGTACCTTTGACACAAACACACCTGCTTGTGAGCTACCCATCTTATTTACTTGGGTGGTGACAAACGTGGCACATTGTCTTGGCCCACTGGTAACTGTGGGCATTCTGTTTTTGGAATAAGTGCAGGAGGGATAACCTCAATCAAGGTACCATGGATATTCAAATAAATTCTTGAAGAGCCCCTCAATCTCAAATGTACACCCTGTAAGTAATGGGCAGTGGGCAAACAGAGCAGGAATGACTTGCTTCAGGTGGAAATCAGAAGCTCTGAAAATAGAGAAGCAGAGTTTTATTATTTACATCCTCAAAATGTGAATTTTGGTTGGGGTATAAATCTACATTTAATAACCCGATTTAAATTATTTTCTAACTTGATGGTTTTAAATTTGCTTAATATTTGATATTAAGCAAATTTGAGTTGTATCCAGGTATCATGTCACATGCTGTTTGGATATTTAAAGTATCTAGTACTGCGATGGTGAAACAATTGCTGCACAATCGGCTGTTTCCTCTAAATGTGATGTAATCTTCTTTTTGCTGTGTTCTTCATTGTTAGCCGTTATGGAACACCTGAAGAGCTACAAGAACTGGTAGACACAGCTCATTCCATGGGTATCATAGTCCTCTTAGATGTGGTACACAGCCATGCTTCAAAAAATTCAGCAGATGGATTGAATATGTTTGATGGGACAGATTCCTGTTATTTTCATTCTGGACCTAGAGGGACTCATGATCTTTGGGATAGCAGATTGTTTGCCTACTCCAGGTAGGTACATACAATATAGAAATGTTTTCTATTGTTGCTGTTTAACATTAATTTTTAAGAATTTCACTAAATTCATTGTGTGTGTACTCTCTCACTGGTACTTAATGTTCTTAATTGGATTTATTTTTGTTGTACAGGGGATTTTACCTTGTTTTGTATAGCACATGTATTTGTGGTATATTTCATTAAATTTCAATTTTACATATCTTACGCCATGTAAAATATATTGGTTATATAATCATTTAAAAATTTTACTGTGAATCATTTTTTTTTAATATCTAAAAGGCCACTTTATCAATTTGACTTAAACCATAGCCAGTCTCCTTTTACTAGAGAAATACATTGTTTTAAGTAGGCCATTTAAAAAAATCATACTTCATTGCTTCATATCTTAAAATTACATGGTTTTGATTACAGCTAAATTAATTTATAACTATAAAACAACAGTTACTAGTATATAATATGTTTCATGTATGGTGCCAAGTGTTTTAGATATATTAGCTACCTATTTTATCTTATTTAATCTGCACAGCAACTCTACTTACATGTGGTAAACACTATTGTTATAGCCATCTTACAGATAAATAAACTAAGGCTTAGTGTTGAAACCATTTGTTAAGATCAGACAGATCTCTGACCTCTTCTACCATTTAAGGAGAAGAGTGTTTTACGTGATTAAATAGCATATGGCAAAAATTAAAAAGACAAGTTAAAAAACCATGAACTTGTGTTTATTATTTATTGTAAGTGAAAAAATGAAAATGTCAAGCATATTAAAAGCAAAGTATCAAGTAATGTATAATACATATTTTTATAATACATATACATATTTGAAATATGTATATGTATTATATACATATTATATATATTTTATATATGTGTATGTATTTTTGAAAAAAATTAATGAATTTTCTTTCCAGTGTTGCATCATACATAAACATAAATATACCTAGAAAATAGGCTGTATAGAAAAATGTCTCAGCAAATAATTTTATAAAATGAAGAGGTCTCATTTTTCAACCTAAATTAGATGACTTATATATGAAGGAAATTCATACATTATTTCTGGATATCATACATTATTTTATATTTCATAGCCATTCAGGAATCACTCATGCCAGATAAGACAGTGTAATAGGTGAGAAAAGAAACAAGATGGTAGCTGGGTTCCTGGCCTAGACTCACTCTGGTACAAACTGATTAATCATTCTTATTCTCAGGCTTTTTATTATAGAAGGAGGCAGAGTTTGGGGACTAATATAGTTTTGCTCATGAAGGTATTTTGTATTCATGTCACCTTTTGAACATTTATTATTATGCCACAGATTTATGGCAAATAAAAAAGACTAAATCTGTGTTAATTCTGTGATATATTAGGTTGGTGCAAAAGTAATTGTGGTTTTTGCCCTTACTTTTATTGGCAAAAAACTGCAATTACATAACTCTACTAATTACATTGAGTACATCTTATAGAAGTAGAATATGCCCAAGAAATTCAATTAATTGAACTCTCTGGTTTATAATTGGATGAAGGAGGGTTGACTCTATTTTGTAGAACTGTGCCTTATGAAAGAAATATATTTATTAAATAGTTAGATTTTTATGTTTTAAAACAATTCTTCTGTAGAATTATACCTTAAAAAGAAATACATTAAGTGGATGGATTTTTATGTTATACAACATTTTTATTTTATTCACATGTTTATTGTAGTGTACCTTGTTGTACCAAAGTGCATTTAAACTTAGCCAATTTTCTAAACAAAAGGGATCATACATCATTGTTTTCAAAAACATTTCTATCACAGAAATTGAGACAAACTTAACATTGTTATTTAATACTCGGCTTCTTTTTTATTGAATTAACTATTAATCTTTCTCATGTGCATGCTTTTGGTAAATAAAGCATCCTATAGTTTTAGCTTAATTTATTTTTTATTGTGACCATTTTATTTGTTTTTTTTCTGCTGTCATATAGACTTAGTCCTCTGTAAATATAGTTTTATTAAATTGCATTTGTATTATTCTACATGTCATTCTGTTTGACCAATATCTAAATTTTCCCATTTTATAGAATTAGTATTTTCTATATAGGTTTATACTATTAATGTATTAGGGTTCTCTAGCAGGAGAGAACTAATAGGATATATATATATATTTATATATGAAGCTATATGTATTTATCAAGGGGAGTTTATTACGAGAACTGACTCATAGGATCACAAGGTGAATTCCCACAATAGGTCATCTGCAAGTTGAAGAGCCAGGGAGCTAGTCTGAGTCCCCAAACCTCAAAAGTAGGGAAGCCGATAGTGCAGCCTTCAGTCTGTGGTGAAAGGCCCAAGAGTCCAAAAGCTGAAGAACTTGGAATTTGATATTCGAGGACAGGAAGCGTCCAGTACAGGAGAAAGATGGAGGCTGGAAGACTAAGCTAGTCTAGTTTTTCCACATTCCTCTGCCTGCTTTTATTCTGGCTGTGCTGGCAGCTGATGAGATGGTGCCCACCGAGACTGAGGGTAGGTCTGCCTTTTCCAGTCCACTGACTCAAATGTTAATCTCCTTTGGCAACACCCTTACAGACATATCCAGGAACAATACTTTGCATCCTTCAATCCAATCAAGTTGACAGTCAGTATAAACCATCACAATTAGTCATGACATTATTAAACAATATAGATAAAATCCTCCAAAGCCAGTGTATATAAATTCATTTAAACAAATACTTCTTAGCAATCATGATCAAAGTCCTACTTTGCTCTTTTGGTTATTTATTGCTGCTTAGTAAGCCAAAAATTTAGTGACTTAACAGCAATATTTATTTTGTTCCCAAACTCACAATTTGGGTATACCTCAGTGTGGACTGCTCTTCTTTTCTTCACCTTGTGTCCCCTGGGGTGGCTCATATAGGGGACAGAGCATCTGCTTTCAGGATGGTTCACTCATGTGACCTACGGTTGGTGCTGGCTGTCAGCTAGGAGCTCAGCCTTGGTTGTGAGATTGAGGACCCCAAATCCCCTCCTCCTAGCCCACTCCACAGACAACTTGGGCTTTCTCACAAGAGCGATAGTCCCAAAAGACAGGATATGCAAGCTGCCATTTTATATGGTCTGGGTTTAGAACATGGCAGAGTGCCATTTCTGTTGAAAACTACTGGTCAATCACAGTTTCAAGAAAACTTGAAAACTTGTTAGTTTATCTAATAAAACTTGTTAGGTAAAGATAAGAGAATTTTTGCACATATCCTTAAAATTCCTTAACGCCCCTCCCTTCGAAGGGGCGTTAAGTAATTTTAACCACACACAACGAATATGCTACTTTACAAATTCAAAATAGATGTATTGAAATACCTGTTCATGTGGAAATATTATTTACTCAGCCATATTTCTGTTATGAGAATTATCAGAGAGTTATGTCTGAAATAGCCATTTTTTTTAAAAAAAAATACACCTTTCATTATAAAATAATGCCATTGTAATTAGAAAATTTAAAAAGGCACACAAAATTCAAAATAAAAAAACTATATTTGAAAAATGTGAACAACATACTTGTATTTAGCTATATGTGAATGCATTTAATGAATATTCCTTACATGCATAGAAATACATAACCCAATCCTTCACTTTCACCCTCTTCATAAAATAGCTACTCTGCCTGTAATTTTGAGTTTGTTCCTTATTCAGATGAAATCAGAAATTACAATTTATGTTTCATATTTTAAATACAAATTTTTCCACCCCTTACATTTGTTAGGCTGATTAATTTTATAACCCATTGACAAACAGACATAAATATGGCACATGGCTTGCTTAAGACCTAAGCCTCTTCTTTGAAAACTTTTGTCATAATTTTTGAAATTATTATATTTACTGTTTGAAAAAATTGATGTTATAGAATTGCTTCTGTAGAGATATGTTGCTGATGCTCATTTTATCCTATCTATATGTCACAACCTGTCACCATTTAGAATCTGTGATTCAAGTGCCATCATCAAAGTTACCAGAATTAAATCTCTTACTCTGAGTAATACCAGAGATCCTGACTGTGCTATTTCATTACCTGCTATGAATAAATTTCCAATCAGGAGCTGCCCATGTTTAATTTTCTGTCTACTCAGCTGAACTGCCTTCTAGCTTTGCTAAATTAGTAATGACAGTTCATCACAGAGATTGGGTTGTCCTTTATTTGGTAAAGAGAACTTTCTGACAAGTGTGTCACCCATAAGTTTCAGGAGTTTCTAGAATTAGTAATAATGAATATAATGTAGTGGTCCCAGTTTTAAATTCTGTTTGCATATTCCTCTGGCACTACATAAATGCACTTTTAAGACAATGAAAACTTGTTGGATTTAAATAACTGCTATGCCATAACCATTACTAAATCTTCAAATGAATATCTTTTGTTCGTTAAATATTTCTTTCAAAGATAAAATACTGACTTCTAAAGGAGATAGCAAAGTAGATCTAATGCTCATGTTTTTCCTCCTTAAACTTATGTTTGGACACAAAATTAATATAGTTATATTTCATCAGCTTGAGTTCATAATATGGTAACCATTAGGCTAAAAGATACTCTCTTTTCTTGAGCAACTAGAGTTGTTTTCAGAAACAAAAGTGAGTCCAATTGGTCTTTTTAGGGTCATAAGTATGTAGAATAAAGTACTCTTAGGATAGACACTATATATAATATTTGGGACTTCTTAACCATGGTGGGCATTTTCTACAAGTTAGTATGTGGAAGGAAATTCAAGGGGTTCTCCCTGCTCAGAGTGGATTTTTGTATCTGAGGTAATTATTCTATGATATCTTACCATATGGCTTTTCTATGGTTAATTAGAATTGATTTTTAATGGTAAGCCAGTCTTGCATTCCTGAGGTAAGCCCTCATGACCATAGATGTAAGTATTCTAAACAAAATTTTAGCTTAATTATATATGATATTACATCATGACCAAATCAGTTCTCAATGATAAATATTAACTTGAGGGTTATTATGCATCAGTATACTAGCTAACGAGTATATGACACCATCATGATTAGCAAGATTATTTAAAAACTAAGCAACCATGACATGAATGGAAAATTCTAAAATTATTTTTAAGAGGATTTTTAAGTCATACACTACTTTTTGATTTTGTCATTGAATTACAAAGAGAACAATTCACCCAATGACAAAAACAAAAAAAATACAGAAAAAATAGCATACAAAGGATAAATATGTACAACCACATTTGAAAACAATTTGGTATTATTTGGTAAAGTTAGAGATACACATATACTATGCTGCATTTTTCAATATATATGCTTGGAGCATATGTTTGTCAGAAATTTTGGAGAGATAGACTTAAAAAAATCACTCCTTTCAGAGAACAGTAGGCGCCCCCATTTATCTGTGGTTTTGCTTTCTGTGATTTCAGTTACTCATAGTACTTTAGCTTGAAAATATTAAATGGAAAATTCCAGAAATAAGCATTTCATAAGTTTTTTATTAGTTTTCAATAGTAGCCTAATGCTATGTCACAATGAGGTCATTCACCTCACTTCATCATATAGGTACCTTATCTTCATAGCATCACAAGAAGAAGAGTGAGTACAGTATTACATTTTGAGAGAAAGAAAGATTACATTCACATAAATTTTATTACAGTATATTATTATAATTGTTCTATTTTATTAGTTATTGTTAATCTCTTATTTTGCCTAATTTATACATGAAACTTTATCATAGGTATGTATGTATAAAGACACAGTATATATAGGGTTTGGTATTATCCATGGTTTCAGGCATCCACTGGCAGTCTTGGACTGTATCTCCTAAAAATAAGGGAGAGCTAATGTATTTGTTTTTAATTTCACTGGATAGATTTCAAAGCACTGAATTTTTTTATAATTGAAGTAATATAGCATCATTTTAGACATATAAACACCTGCCTTATATGCTTTACAAAAACAAATGATGGCTGGACATGGCGGCTCACACCTGTAATCCCGGCATTTTGGGAGGCCAAGGGGGGCTGATCACCTGAGATTGGGAGTTCAAAACCAGCCTGACCAATATAGAGAAACCCTGTCTCTACTAAAAATACAAAATTAGCTGGGTGTGGTGGTGCATGCCTGTAATCCCACCTACTTGGGAGGCTGAGGCAGGAGAATTGCTTGAACCTGGGAGGCGGAGGTTGCAGTGAGCCGAGATTGCGCCATTGCACTCCAGCCTGGACAACAAGAGCAAAATTCCATTTCAAAAAAAAAAAAAGCCAAAAAACAAATGATGGATGATTAAAAGACATTTTGGACATAGTTTAGCAAACAGCTAACTATTCCAAAGGAAGTCAGACAGTAAGAAATAAGCAGTAACTTATAGCCTGTTCTTCACTAAGAATATTATAATCTCACAGTATGTTAATAACTTTTGAGAGTACTGAGTGTCCCATTAAAAGTCTTCCTGTTTTCTTAATATTTTTTCTTTCCCTTTCAGCATTTCTTCCTTGTTAAAACCAGAATCTTATTTCAGCTTGATTAAGGAGAACAGTTAAATCTACTACTCTTTCAAATAAAGTAGAGTTAGCTTCAAAATTCAGACAGACTAATTCTCTTCTGTAAAAGAGATTAAGAAAGTTGCTATATCAATCCAATCTGTCTGGATTTGAGTTTGAATGGTAGAAATATAACTTCTCTCACAGGGTTTATGAGATTACTCAGTCTAGCAGAAAAGTTTCTGTTGATGCAGAGTGTAGCACAGGAGTAAGGATTTACCGTCTTTGTATAAACTTTGTTCCTGGTATTATCTGCCTCGTTTATTCCCCACAAGCCTAAAATTTAGGAGCACAGGGATATTTTGAAAGTATCTTGAGTATTTACGTCTTACTCACCTATAACATTCACCTTCTCAAATCCAAACTCATGCTGAAGTAGGACAGTTCTGCTGGGTAATTTACCTTAAGTTTAAAAATGCTGCTCATTGCCCTAAAACATCTCTCTATTTTCTTTCTTTCGCTTAAAACAATGGTTGGTGCATGCTTGTGAAAATGGTCCTAAGGTCCCTATTCAAGTGATTATCCATTTAAGTCTGGGAATTATGTGGTATCTATAATAATAATGGTTTTGTTTATGACCTTTTTAAATAAGCAGGTTAAAAGTGGGAAAAAATCAATTTTTCTGTTTTTATCTGGGTGTAGCAAAACAGCTTGTTTAAACATGTCTATTTTCTACAGAATAGACTAGCAGTTTTGAAGTTATGAAGAGATATTTCATGGTTTTCTAGCTGAATGATTTCCTTAGTGTTATGCTGCAGATAAATAACTCATGTTACATTGAGTCACTTACTTTCAGAAAATATAGGTTTTTCTTATAATTTCGAAAGCATCCATATATAAGTAATATAAAATTATTCATTTTTGAGGACCTTATTCCCATTAACTTAGATTAGTGAGCAGGCAGATTTTTATCTAACTTCTGCATTTCCCATCCACATTTTATAATGTTGAGGCATCACTATTGAGTTGTAACTTGGATCTTCGGTCTTCCTTCTGTTTCTTTCACCATATGTAAGAGAAGCCGATAGCCACAGGATTTGGTTCCTTGTCTACTTCTAGGTTTAACTGTCTCCCCAAGATTAGACTTTTACCTGTATAGCCTTTCAAATTCTGTCTGTTGAAAGCATCATTAAAACTTGGGGGCAGTTACAGTTACATTTTCTCATAGCACGTTAGGAAACAAAACAGCATGATAGCCAAGTTGTCTGAGACTGGAGCTCTGTTCTTAACACTGTGTTAAGAACAGTGAAGGAGGCCGATGAGCTGTCCAGGTGGGTTCCCCTTGCCTTTGTGAGATTATGATATTCATGATGGTTACTGTCATACCTTCATTCATGCAGTTTTGAAGCATTAGGTGCTTTAGAAGCTTCTCAGGCCACTTGATATAAAATAATTCATCTAGTCCCTACCATGCTTCCCTGCCACATGTTCCTTCACTAACTTTTCTCCATTGTCTTTCCCACCATGTGACATTTGGAATAGTTGTTTATTTTTAAATTTTAGTGGTATATTTGTTGTTTCCATATTAAATGTGAAAGGAAAGTTAATAATTTGTTGTTTCTCATGGGATATATTTTATGTAAAGTAAAATACCTCTCTTTTTTCCCCCTGTCTCTTGATCTCTCCTTCTCTCTCTTTTTCTCTCTCTCTCAAGTCTCTGTCATAAACTTTTCACCATCATGCTTGCCATGGCGGCAACACTGCAAAGTGATGTGATAGATTCCTGTTCGTTAGTACTGAAAACAGTGAAGAAAGCCACACAAGATGTTTCCCCCCAAAATGCTAATTACAACACTAATAATAGCAATAATCATGTATACTATATAGAATTAAGATTAATTGATTTAATACACAATATAAAGTGGGTGGTTTTAGAATTGGATGATCTTTACCTCTCTGCTCTTGAACCAAGCTGCTTACATTTGAGTTTCAGTTTCATGTATAAAGAACTCATAATGATATTATTTATGTGCCATAGGGCGGTGGTTCAGACTGCATAAAATAATACGATTGAAAATGTGCAACAACTAGAATATAGAATATCATGGAAAGTTTGGAGTTATACTTTCAGATTTTTACTAAAGGATAAAAGCAGGACTCGCGAACGAGGCAGGTAACTGAGAGAAGCAGGCCAGGTGGTTCTTACTGGCAACCTGGCAAACGGATCTCCTCTGAGGTGGCTGCCATTCACAAACCATTTCGAATACAATTGTCAGTTGCTTTCGTGTTGAGAATGTGGACCCATGGAGCCACATCTTCTAGTTATTTAAGTCAGGAGCCCACATTTTATATGAAACCTCCCTATGTTAAAATGTCATACAATTAGTTTAAAATGTTCATTCACTGTGCATACCAAAGCAACATACATGCAGGATGGATAAAAACCAGTCACTAAGGCTATCTCTGGGTTCCAAAATGTGCCTTAGGAGACACGCAACAAATCAGATTCTACCAAACTACCAAATAAATTAAGGCATAAGTCAAATCTAATAAGGACAACTATACCTTCATAGATTAAATATAGTATTTAATACTCTATTTTGTATTAGCAATGGTAATTTTATAAACCTCAACTATTAGTATATTATCACCTAGCAGAATTGTGTAATATCTCCTTGATTTTAAGTAGTAGAGGAATAAACAAAATAAATGTCTTTTAATATCAGGTTCAGTAAAGCAGAATACAACTTTATTAAAGAAATCTGTATAGTTAAAATTTGGTAACCTTGTTTCTTTTAATGCTTTGCATCTAAGTTGCTGTTAATTTGTTTTTAAAATATAAATATAGATACTGACCTTGCAGGCAGTATAGAGAATAGGTATAGGCCTGGGCTCAAATACTAGTTCATCACTTACTAGCATGTAACCACAGCCAGGTTAATCTTTCTAAGTTTAACTTTAATTTCCCCCTCTGTAAAATACTAATAAGATTATAGTTTATCTACCTTGTATAATTGTGAAGGGCTCATTACACACTTCCCCCAGTGTCTCAATTATAGTTGTGATAATTGTCATTGTCACTGTCATCACAATATCATTGTCATGATTATCTGTGGTCAGACTTACTAGCCACCCTCGTTCTCTGAAACATAACTACAAGCATTGAAACAGGTAATAATATTTTTTTCATGAGCCAAACCATGTGCCATAATGTTTATGGATATTTGTTCGTTGTTGTATCACACTATTTTTAAAAGGATGTCAAGCTATTTTTTGGTAGAAGGACAAAATTCAGAACAATTGTGGAACTGACCAACTGTGATCAATATCTAACAGTATTGAGAAGTCACAGCAAAAAACAATGGAAGAAAGAGAAAGTGCCTCAAGGTCAGAAACCAAAACTGAATGCCCAGCATTGTAAGGCCATTTACGTGCAGCAGCAAACAGCTCCGCACAGTGTAATTGTCCCTCTGGGCATTGTTAGACTGCAGTATAGTATAATAATTGATGATAATGAGTCTGAGTCATTAAAAAATAAACTTCAAGTCATGTTCAAAATTTCTTTTTAAGATGCCAGGAAAAAGTAAAATATATAATCCTTTGGGTATATACCTAGTAATGGGATTGCTGGGTCAAATGATATTTCTAGTTCTAGATCCTTGAGGAATCTCCACACTGTCCACAATGGTTGAACTAATTTACACCCCCACCAACAGTGTAAAAGCGTTCCTATTTCTCCACATCCTCCCAGCATCTGTTGTTTCCTGGCTTTTTAATGATTACCTTTCTGACTGGCATGAGATGGTATCTCATTGTGGTTTTGATTTGCATTTCTCTAATGACCAGTGATGATGAGCTTTTTTTTCATCTTTGTTGGCCACATAAATGTCTTCTTTTGAAAAGTGTCTGTTCATATCCTTTGCCCACTTTTTGATGGGGTTGTTTGTTTTTTTCTCGTAAATTTGTTTAAGTTCTTTGTAGACTCTGGATATTAGCTCTTTGTCAGATAGATAGATCATTCTACTATAAAGACACATGCCCACATATGTTTATTGCAGCACTATTCACAATAGCAAAGACTTGGAACCAACCCAAATGCCCATCAATATTAGACTGGATAAAGAAAATGTGGCACATGTACACCATGGAATACTATGCAGCCATAAAAAAAGAATGAGTTCATGTCCTTTGCAGGGGCATGGATGAAGCTGGAAACCGTCATTCTCAGCAAACTAACACAGGAACAGAAAACCAAACACTGCATGTTCTCACTGATAAATCGGAGTCAAACAATGAGAACATATGAGGATAGAGAGGGGAACATCACACACCAGGGCCTATTGGGGGGTGGGAGACAAGGGGAGGGATAGCATTTGGAGAAATACCTAATGTAGATGACAGGTTGGAGAAATACCTAATGTAGATGACCACGGCACATGTATATCTGTGTAACAAACCTGCACATTCTGCACATGTATCCCAGAACTTAAAGTATAATAAAAAAAGTAAAATATAATTTCAAAGTGTTTCCATTAAAAATTTTTTATTTTTTATGTTTTTTTTTTTTTTGAGACAGAGTCTTGCTCTGTTGCCAGGCTGTAGTGCAGTGGTGCAATCTCGGCTTACGACAATTTCTGCCTCCCAGGTTCAAGTGATTCTCCTGCCTCAGCCTTCTGAGTACCTGGGACTACAGGTGCACACCACCACACCTGGCTAATTTTTTGTTTTTTTTTTTGTATTTTAGTAGAGACGGGGTTTCACCATGTTGGCCAGGATGTTTTCGATCTCCTGACCTTGTGATCTGCCCACCTTGGCCTTCCAAAGTGCTGGGATTACAGGTGTGAGCCACCACGCCTGGTCATTGTTAAATTTTTAAATGTTGTTTTAGAGATTAAGTTAAAGTTACCGGTCTACTGTGTTTTAATGAGGGATTACTGTGTAGATTTTATGTGGACTACTTTGTTTCCCTCCAATGTCGAATAAATGAAGCATTCCTCCACTTATGTTTTAAGTGTCCAGGTGCCAAAGGCTATTACTAATCAGTTATTGAATTGACTACCTTGCTTATTTTGCATTTTATATCAGGGAATATCTTTCTTTTTTTCTTTTTAAAGAGAGAGTCTCCCTCTGTTGCCCAGGCTGGAGTGCAGTGGCACAGTCATGGCTCGTGACAGCCTTGACCTCCCATACCCAAGCAATCCTCCCACCTAAGCCTACTGAGTAGCTAGGACCAATGGCAAATGCCACCATGCCTGGCTAATTATTTTTATTTTTTGTAGAGATGGGGCCTTCCTATGTTGCCCAGGCTGGTCTCCACCTCCAGAGCTCAAGTGATCCTCCCACTTCAGCCTCTGAAAGTGCTAGGATTATAGGCATGAGCCACCATGCACAGCCTAGGGAACATCTTATATATTTCTTAGGATCCTATTTTATGATGCTCTTTTCTGAGAGGAAAACAGGATTTTAAGCTATTTTCTATAACATTGGCTAGTTTAACTCTACTGATTACATGTTTAAAGTATTATTTCAACATGTAATCAATGGTAAACCAATGTAAAAATCAGTTGAGAAACAAGGTATTTGACGTATTTTAGAGGTATTACGTTTTGGAAATTTGGTGTGTATTTTACACTTAGGGCACATCTCAATTTGGATGTTAATTTTTCATCAGAAATAGTTGATGTGTATTTAATATTCATAATTTTACAGCAAAAAGTTGATTCACCTACCTGAGTTGTTTCAAACATACTTAAATTTTGTAGTAATGGAACTGGGTGCCAGTTTTTAAATCTACATCAATATAAAATAGTTTGAAGTCAGGTAGCGTGATGCCTCCAGCTTTGTTCTTTTGGCTTAGGATTGACTTGGCAATGCGGGCTCTTTTTCGTTTCCATATGAACTTTAAAATAGTTTTTTCCAGTTCTGTGAAGAAAGACATTGGTAGCTTGATGGGGAAGTCATTGGTAGCTTGATGGGGATGGCCATTTTCACGATATTGATTCTTCCTACCCATGAGCATGGAATGTTCTTCCATTTGTTTGTATCCTCTTTTATTTCATTGAGTAGTGGTTTGTAGTTCTCCTCGAAGAGGTCCTTCACATCCTTTTGTAAGTTGGATTCCTAGGTATTTTATTCTCTTTGAAGCATGTGGCACTATTCACAATAGCAAAGACTTGGAACCAACCCAGATGTCCAACAATGATAGACTGGATTAAGAAAATGTGGCACATATACATCATGGAATACCATGCAGCCATAAAAAATGATGAGTTCATGTCCTTGGTAGGGACATGGATGAAGCTGGAAACCATCATTCTCAGTAAACTGTCGCAAGGACAAAAAACCAAACACTGCATGTTCTCACTCATACGTGGGAATTGAACAATGAGAACACATGGACACAGGAAGGGGAAGATCACACACCGGGGACTGTTGTGGGGTGGGGGGAGGCGGGAGGGATAGCATTAGGAATTATACCTAATGCTAAATGACAAGTTAATGGGTGCAGCACACCAACATGGCCCATGTATACATATGTAACAAACCTGCATGTTGTGCACATGTACCCTAAAACTTAAAGTATAATAATAATAATAAAAAATATATAAAAAATACAATTAAACATCCAGTTTTGTGGCCTCCCTAGCCAGGTTTCCAGGGCTCAGTAGCCCCATGTGAACTGCATTGAATGACACAGGTATAGCAAGTAGTCTGAAGGCTCTTGCTGTTAACAGCTTTGTAATCATTACATTGGGTAAATCTACATCCATTTATTGAGTTAGGTGGTTATAATATTTTATTTTTCAATAAACCCTTTTAGTAGCAATAAACTAAAAAAGTGTATGTTTTATGAAAAGTACTAAATGTCTCTTAAGAAATTAAACATGTAATAGACTGGATTAAGAAAATGTGGCACATATACACCATGGAATACTATGCAGCCATAAAAAATGATGAGTTCATGTCCTTTGTAGGGACATGGATGAAATTGGAAACCATCATTCTCAGGAAACTATCGCAAGAACAAAAAACCAAACACCGCATATTCTCACTCATAGGTGGGAATTGAACAATGAGATCACATGGACACAGGAAGGGGAATATCACACTCTGGGGACTGTGGTGGGGTCGGGGGAGGGGGGAGGGATAGCATTGGGAGATACACCTAATGCTAGATGACACGTTAGTGGGTGCAGCGCACCAGCATGGCACATGTATACATATGTAACTAACCTGCACAATGTGCACATGTACCCTAAAACTTAGAGTATAATAAAAAAAAAAAAAAAAAAAAAACTTAAACATAATAGTCACTAATTATTAATCAGTTGCCAAGAATTGTTTTATACAACTACCAGTAAAATCACCAATTTGTCAGCCAGTAAACACATGTAAGTAATTATTTTGGCTTGTTTTTACCTCTCAAATATGACTCAGGCATAAGTGAATTAGAATGAATGATTTAGTTGTATAAAATTTAGTTATCCTGGGATTAAGATGAAATAAATAATTTAGTAACATACTCTGTTGCTATATATATATATATATATATATATATATATATATATATATGCAATTGTTCTTTCTCCTTTATATTTTAAAGGGTAGGCTATTTGCTTAAATGATGGGTAGAATATATAAATATATGGTGAAACAGACTGTTCAATTGAGTTTTGTCATGAATTTTCAAAGAAGTTTCATTAATTAAATTTTGTAAATATGACATGATCATTTACATAGAGAAAACAATGTTAGCAGTAATGAAGAAACTCATCACTGGCTCTTTGGCATTTTGCCTAACTCTGATCAGAATTTTTGATTTCTATCATTTGCCATTCTTCCACAATGATCACATGAATAAATCAGTTTTCAGATTTCCCAGAGCTCTTGCCCTCACTGTTAGAGTCCACAAGATTCCATCTAGGGTCTTCTTCATGTTCTTATCTGTATGCTTTTCCTGAGGTCTCCTTCATGGCCATGATATTCATTCTTTCAAGAATTCAGTAACTTTTTGTTGTAGAGACTATGCTGCACCTGGTCACCTTGAAGAAGAGAAAGACATGGCCCCTATTTCAGGAAATTAAAAGTCTAAAGAGGATGATACACAATATGTATGCTAATGCAACCCAGGGTGACGTATTGATAGTTGAAGACACATATAAGGGGGCCGCCTGAGTCTGAAAGGGGTTGGAATTGTCATGAAAGCCTCTGGAACAAATGGCCCCTCCCTGTCTCTAATTTGGAGTGGGCAAGTCTCATAAACTCTGTGTCTCATATTCTTCTTTAAAATACTAATTTAAAGGGTGCCTATCTCATGGAGCTATTATAAGATTTAAAATATTAAAAATATGTGGCCAAGCAATGTGGCTCACTCCTGTAATCCTAGCCTGTAGTCCAGTGCTTTGGAGGCTTAGGTGGGAGGATCGCTTGAGGCCAAGAGTTTGAAGTTACAGTGAGGTATGATTGCACCACTGCCCACTGCATTCCAGCCTGGGTGACAAAGTGAAAATAACAAGAACAACAACAACAACAAATATATATGTTTTTTATATATATATATATATATATGTAAAATATATAATTTTCTTATAACAGTTCTTGGCATATTATAAGAATTAGTATTGTTTCTTATAACTGCCATGGTTTATTCTAAAATTAGACTTCTCAGTTGAGCTCGAATTGATGTATCACATAAACAACACACATACATTTAACTGTTACAGGTCCTTCCCTCTTTATTTTACTTCCACATGATTTTTCAAATCCAGATTCTCTTTCTTACTCCCCACCCTGTGTTAAAAATGCTGTTATTATTCACCTCCATTCTTTGTTCTCTTCCATGTGAGTATGTGTTTTATTATACCAGTTATTGGATTGCATTATTATCATAGTTTGCTTTTCTCCTTTATACGAAGCCAATAATAAAAGTTTCAGCAGGGCAAAGACCATGTTTATCTTGTTTCCCACTTTATTCCTCAGGACTGGAATGGTGCTTGACACATTTAAACACAGATTTGTTGAATGAATAAATAAATGAATACATTTATGCTAATTCTCCCAAATTAGAATATAGATCTTATAATCCTCTTCCTTAAGCAAGTACCTCAGAACCTGCTAGAGAATAGACTGTCAAAGTTTGTCCAGATGAGTAGAAATGAAGCCCATTATCTCTATGAAGTAATACTTTTTGAATAGTTTAGATCCTTTTATACCCAGATATAGAAAATGGTGTTTCACTTCATTCACGAAATAACAATGGCATCCAGGTTTATTATAGCTCTTCGTTCCATATAATTTCTTTGGGAAAGTGGGAAATAATCCACCAAGGAGGAAAGTTCAGCAGGAAATTAGGAAGTGTGATACATGAAAGGTGTTCAGTGATCAAATGCACTTGGAAAACCCCAAATTAAATCAAATTCAGCACATTTCTTTAGAATCAAAATTCTTGGAATCTAATTAGCTAATATACATTTTGAATCTCCAAGTAAGTGCTATATAATAATACTTCATTTTTCAAATGTATTAGACCTTGAAACACTTCAAATGCACATAGAAGAGATTTTTTTTTTTTTTTTTTAATGAGTCTGAACATGGCTTATGGGGTTTTGAAGGATCTGGCTCTAGTCTCATCTTGACATCCTTTTTCTCTTGCTTACTACGCTCTAGCCACTCCAGTGCTTTTCATGCACTGGGGCTGTTGTGCATGCTTTTATCTTTGCCTGGAGTAGTTCCCTGGTATCCATCTCCTGTTTATTTTCTGGTCCTCAGTGTAAAAGCCCCTTCTCCTTATCTTCGCTGGTCTAAAATCAGTTCCTCAGGAACGCTTGCTCAAGGCTTCCTCTTTTTATCCTTTACTTACTTATAATCTGTAGTTAAAAGTTGCAATTGTATTTGTGTTTTATATTCTGAAATACAACTTACCTATTTTTCTTTTGATTTTACCTTTAGGAGCTATTTCATTGCATAAGTGTACATATGTAAATTCTGTGCTATAAACATTGTTAATGGTCGTTTTACTTTTGTTTTGTAAAGAATATCCTGTTTGAACCTTATGTCCTTGAAAGAAAATGAAGATTTTTACTACTACCTTAACCAATACAGATATAGTGATAATAGCTTGAGCTAGTGAGTGGATGAAATTAGAATAGATGTGCTTTGGCATTCAGGCTCTGCTGTTTCCGAGCATGAGCTGCTCCTTACTGAGCAGTGCCGGCATTGTTTTGTTGTTTACTTTATTGAAATCTTACCGCCCCTAAACTAGCATCAACATGTAGTACTATTTATTTACAACATACAAGTTAAGGAAATGAAGTCTCTTTATGGTTATTTCCTCTAGCAGAAGATAATAGCACAACCTGCTTCAGTATTTACGCTTTTTAAAATAAAACACAATTTCACCTTTTCCTCATCAGCCCATCAGAAGTTTCTCTGGCTGCCTTTCTTCCTCTCCTTCTCTTTCTTTCTCATTACCTTTCCTTTTCTCCCCGTACTCCAATAGATATCAGCTGTACATTTGGTGATTAAGCTTTGTGATATTTGAAAGAAGATAGCCAAAAACCAGAAATAAAAGTCAAGGGCTAGGCATGGTGACTGTCCTGTAATCTCAGCACTTTGGGAGGCTGAGGTGGCAGAATCACTTAAGCACTGGAGTTTAAGACCACCCTAGGTAACATAGCGAAACCCTTTCTCTACAACAAAATTAAAATGAAATTACCTGGGCATAGTGGTGCATGCCTGCAGTCTTTGATACTTGGGAGGTGAGGTGGGAGGATTGCTTGAGCCCAAGAGTCCGAGGCTGCAGTGAGCTATGATCATGCTGCTGCACTCCAGCCTGGGCAACAGAGTGAGACACAGTCTAAAAAAAAAACAGTCCAGGATTTTATTTTTTATTGGTACTTATCAGTTTTAGGAAAGATGTAAGGGAATAGTTGTCTCTATGTTCTTTCTAAAAGTCTTAATTTACAGACTCCAGGTGCCTCCAGTGACTGAAGTGTAAAATATTAAAAGATCATAGCCAATGCAAAAATAGGAATGTCAGAATCAAATATCCTGAGAAGAAGCTATCAGTAGTGTCTAGAGTCTTAGATAGTATTCTCTTAACTGATAAAGACCTGAAAATATCTTCTATCAAGGCAGGAGTGAAGCATTCTATTCTTGGTTTCTGTGTTTTTCTTCCCCACACCACACATCCCTCCTTCTCCCTCCCCCTCCCCCTCCCCCTCCCTCATAACATAAAAGCAGGCAGGATTCTGAGGCAGGGAAGGATTTGAGTCTATGTCAGGAAAAGTGTAGCCGTGGTTTTATTTTAGGACCCTACTCTTTTGTCTTCCCTGTGGTTGGCTCTTTTCCCTGCTATGCTGATTATTTTAGCAGGTAGAAAAAAGTGGCTGCTGCTAGAAAGTTTCCTTAAGAAATGTGAATATTTTAGGCTATTTGAGCATAAACGTAGCTAATTCAGACACACTGGGAACAAACCAGAAGGAGACTTGGTTCTTTTCCATTCTTTCTGCAGGGTACATTAACATCCCATAGAAAGTAGAGATATGCTTCTTGTATTGTGTGTGTTTTTAAGTTATGTTACCTTATAGATATGAACTGGCTCAAATAAATATCTACTAGGTTATTTTCTTATTTATTTACATGTTATGTGTGTGTGTATGCATGTGTGTGTATCACATCTAAAGTCCAAAAGTTTATACCGGTTGATCATATATTATTTAATATTTTGGTTTTCAGAAATTCATAATCTCAACACACCTAAAATTTATAGACAATAGGGCAAGAATACACATTTCTAGACTGTGCAAGTGGGAAGTTTACTTTAAAAATAGATATGAAATACTGTTTCTGTATTAAATATATGAATATTACATGTTAGGAGCAGGAGGCTTTATGAACAAATGTTGATGCCTAAGTAATATGCTTGTGAGAATCCTGGTATGGTTAGGCTTTGTGTCCTCACCCAGATCTCATCTTGAATGTAATCTCCATAATCCCCATAATCTCCACGTGTCAAAGGAGAGATCAGGTGGAGGTAATTGAATCATGGGGGCATTTCCCCCATGTTTTCTCATGATAGTGAGTGAGTTCTCACAAGATCTGATGGTTTTATAAGGGGCTTGTCCTCCTTCGCTCGGGACTTCTCTTTCCTGCCACCTTGTGAAGAAGGTGCCTTGCTTCCTCTTTGCCTTCTGCCATGATTGTAAGTTTCCTGAGGCCTCCCCAGCTATGTGGAACTGTGAGTCAGTTAAGCCTTTTTCCTTTATAAATTACCTAGCCTTGGGCAGTTCTTTATAGCAGTATGAAAATGGACTAATACAGATCCTATATTAAAAATAAGTCTGGGTCAGGCACAGTGGCTCATGCTTGTAATTTTCGTACTTTGGGAGGCCAAGACAGGAAGAATGCTTGAGGTCAGGAGTTCAAGAGCAGCCTGGGCAACATAGTGAGACCCCCATCTTTATTTAAAAAATGAAAATAAAAATAGCCAGGCATGATGGCTCTCACCTGAAGTCCCAGCTACTCAGGAGGCTGAGGCAGGAAGACTGCCTGAGCCCAGGCAACCTGGAGGCTGCAGTGAGGCCAGGAGGTTTCAGTGAGCCATGGTCATGCCACTGTACTCCAGCCTTGGTGACAGAGTGAAACGCTGTCTCAGATAATAATAATAATGTCTGGCACACCATATATGCTAAATTAACTAATTTAACAAAAGTTTGAGTACCTACTGGATACCCAACCTTCCTGAACCCTGGGAATGAAGCAGTGAAGAAAACAGATAAGACACCAACCCTCACAGCCCTATACTTTGGTGAGGAAGACCAACAATACAAAGTACATTTCTAGGTAGCAACAAGTACTATGAAGAAAAAGGCAACCAGCTAGAAAGATTCAGTGTTATGTTGTAAAGTGGCTGTCTATTAGTGTGTGGTCAAGATAAGCGTTCTGAAAAGGTGATATTTAAGCAGAGACCTGAATGAAGTGACGTGCAATATCATATTCTGAGAATAAGCAAACAGTGAGGAGAAAAGCAATTGTGAAGTCCCTGCAGGGGCAGTGGGGTTGGTGTGTTTAAAGGAAGGCCAGGGAGATGTAGATTGGTAAGTGAGGGAGAATTTCAGGAGACTCCAGAGAGTTTGGCAGTTGTCAGATCATATAAAACCTTGTAGGCCCTTGTAAGGAGATTCAGTTTTCTTCTGTTTTATTCAGTTTATTCTGTGTTTGATGGGGAGCTGTTTTAACAGCTTTTAAAAGGTTTGGATCAGGGAAATGGTATGACATTACTGAAAAGATCATTTTTTCTGTTCTAGAAGGAAGAGAGATGTTGAGCAGATGTAGAACTGGTGGGCAGATTTAAGATATTTGTATTGCAATAGTCCAGTGAGAAGCTGTCTTAGATCAGTGCAGTAGCATCAGGGGCTTTAATAATTAATTAAATTAAATATGGAGTGCATGTTGAAGGTATAACTGATTTAAAAAAAGAACTTGCTGAGTGATTGGTTGTATATGAGGGGAAGAAAGAAGTTAACTCCGACGTTTTTGACCAAGAGGTAAAAAGGCCTCTGAAAATGGGACTTCTGTCATAAGGTACACTGTAGCCATTCACAAATCCATGGGGAACTGGGAGGAGAAGGACTTGGGGGAAAATCAAGAGGTTAGTTTTGGATATCACAAGTGCGAGATGCATGTTTGCTATGTAAGTGGAAATATTGAGTAGGCACTTAAAAATGTAAGCCTGGAATTTAGTGGGGAGGTTCGGACTGGCAATTTGAGTCAGAAATCATCTGTTTGTAAAGGGCATTCAAAGCAGTGAGCTTGTATCAGATCATCTGAAGAGTGTGTGTGAAGAAAGATGTGGTTGAGCTACTGAGCTCCAAGTTACTCTAACATAAAGAGGTCAGGAAGAAAAACAGAAGCTGGAAGCTAAGAAGATAAAGAAGGATATGCAGGTGAAATGGGAGGACCTATTTAAATAAGCATGTTTTAGAAGGAGTTAGTGCTCAAAATGCCAGCTGCATTTGCAGAGTTTAATTTAGATGAGGATTGAGAATTGGCCATTGATTTAGCATGGTGGTCATTTATTTGGACTAAAAATGGTTTTGTTGGAATGATTGGTCTGAAATTCTGATTCATATGGGTTAAGAAGAAAATGGAAAGTGAGAAAGTGAAGGCAGCAAGTGTAGAAAACTTTTATGTATAGAGAGAGGATATTTACAAAGTAGTAGAAAAGTGGGTTTGGTAGCTGGAATGGAGGTCAAAAGTCAAAAAGTTTCTTTTAAGGTAGGTGATAGTTCAGCTGATGGGATTTAGCTGATAGGGTTCTTAGAAAAATGCAGGGGCAATTTATCTGATGTAATAAAAAAGTAGGTGAAGTATATTGGTTTTTTGCAGGGAAAGAGGTAGATTTGATTGGGTGTTGATGCTTTTTAATTGCTTCCATTTTCTCATTTAAATAAAAGGCAAGACCATCCAGTGAAAGTGAATGAGGGAGAGGTATTGGAAATTCCAGGTGAGAGGAAATATGGTATTGTCCACTGCAAGAGTGGGAGAGTAGTTCACTAAGGAAATGTGATAGGATTCCTTAGGGATCAAATTCAACTAAGGTGGAGTTTTGTTAGGACTAGGAGAGTGATGTAAAGGAATGATTCGGGTAATAGACCGTGAGAATTCTAATTTGGATAAGTGTGGACAGGACAGCCGAAGAAGGATAGTAGGTACAAAAGATGTGGTTAGGAGTAATTTTCTGTTGGGGGGTGAAGAATTGTTGGATGAGGGTACTGAATATTTTGGCTTGTGGAACAGCCTTATAAGGAGACCAAAGCATGCTGTGACTTCCCTTAAGTCACAACGAGGGCTCTTTGAAAGCCAGGAGGAGGGCAGTCTCTTAGGATCCCCTCAAAAATGTTTGAATGACAATGGTGTTTCTCCATTTCCCTTACATTTTCATATACTTAACTTTTCCAAAATGATAGCAACAATAAAAAGATTCACAATTTTCTAGGTCGAATCTATTAAATTATAGCATTAAATAATAAGCCACAGCAGGAGGTATAATTATAAGGTAACCTTGAGAGACAGTTGATTCGAATACACTCAATCCATCACCAAATGTATTCTCCAAAGTGCAGAGTAAGCTTTCTAAAATGCAAATTTGACATGTGACTCACAAATGGAAAACATTCAGTGGTGTCTTTTCTGTTGCTTATAACAGAGTAACTGAAACTGGGTAATTTATAAAGACAAGGAATTTATTTCTTACAGTGATAGAGACTGAGAACTCCAAGGTCAGGGGCCCGCCTCCGTGAGGTCCTTCTTGCTGAGAGCGTCTCCCTGCAGAGTTCCTAGGTATTGCTGTCCTCTCGTATACTGAGTCTCTGTGACTTTACACATGACATTTCCTTTCATTTGGAATGCACTTCCTCCTCTGCTTTATGGACTATCTTATATTTTAAGACCACATATCTTTCTTACCTTATAAGAAACTTTCATAGAAGATCTCCTGTCCTCATCCTCATTCCTGCCTGGTTGACATTCTTCCCGCCACCTCACTGCAACTCAATCAGGACGTTCCTTTTTTATTTAAATACTGTTTAAGTATAATCTACTTAAACAAATCTAATATTGTATAAATTACACTTCCCAAAATAAAAACCCTCCCCATTTTACTCTTTTTACCGGACCACGTCATTTCAGCGACTTGCCTTTTGACTTTATTTCCATAGCATATGCTTGTGCTCAAATAAATGCTCGTTAACTATTAGAATACTTTCTAAAATAAAAGTATATATACTAAGTGCTCTTTAAATTTCATATATTAAAACAAGATGGTCTGCCATTAATTTTGGCTTTTGTTATTAAAAATTATTTCCATGTCTTGGGAGGCCGAGGCGGGCGGATTACGAGGTCAGGAGTTCAAGACTAGTCTGGCCAACAGAGTGAAACCCCATCTCTACTAAAAATACAAAAAAATGGCCGGGCGTGGTGGCAGGCCCCTGTAATCCCAGCTACTCAGGAGGTTGAGGCAGGAGAATCACTTGAACCCGGGAGGTGGAGGGTGCAGTGGGCAGAGATCGTGCCACTGCACTCTAGCCTAGATGACAGTGCGAGACTCCATCTCAAAAAAAAAAAAAAATTATTTCCATGTCAAAAATAATTTGACCTTCTCATGCTGTCATATATGACAGCCTTTTAAATTGCTGTTTTATGTCATTGATTTAATTTAGTTTCCTGAGGAATTTATGAAAGCAATATTTTTAAATAAAAATTATGATTTATTTTTAAATAAATTAATTTGCAAAGTATATTTTTTTAAATATGGAGATATTTTAGCTCATAAATGTATATGTTTTTTAATGGTGATGACATTTTAATGCTACGTTTTTTAACTTGCTATGAAAAGGTTTTACTCTAAGAGATCTACAAAAAAAGGTAAAAAGAAAAACTTCATTTTAAATGTAAAATGGTATTTTGTTTCCTCACATTAAAATGCATTTTAAAATGTCAAAATAAATGTGAAAAGCCAAAATTAAATCTCTTGGTCATATTTTTGAAAAGTGATAATTCTATTTTAATTAAGTCCCTAAAGAATTTTTAAATGTGAGTGTCTCCAACCTAGAGGATAATTTTAAAACAATTATGTATATAATTATTTGCTTTATAATTTTCTTCCATCCCACATAGTCATAATTTTGAGCCTTTATTTTAATGAGCCCCCATGAAATGATGTGTTAAGTGTTAATAATTTCCAACCTCCCATTTTATTTTCTCTTGATTAATGGAATCAATAAACAATTTATATTAAAATGCAAATGTGGACATATACACTCAAATGAAATAAATAATCTAATTGTCAGTTTTAAAAAATTAGCATGATAATCTATAGTTGTACCCTTAATATATGTGAAATATGTTTCTTTTTATTCTAATTTCAACATGGATAGATATAGCAGAAGACCATAAAACCATTTTGTTCCATCTAAGTGAGAAAATGGTAGATTATCTTAACATATATGTATGTGTAGATATATTTACAAGATAAATTTGGATCAAGTTCATAAAGACTTGGATAATATGAAGGACAATTTTTTTTATAGAATGAATACTACATGCATAGTTTAGCCATGGTGCTGAGGGGTCTGCAGAATATCGTTGTTATTCTTCTTTTTATAGGGCAGAGACAAATGCTAAATATATCAATATTATTGATGATTTTACCAGAGATACCGTTTTAAAAATAAGTGAATGAAAATTACATGTTCCTTGCAATAGATGACAAAATTATAGTAATTTTCTGCATGTTTGCATTATTTTGATATAATTTAAAGAGTCATTTTTTTAAAAAGAATCTCATATATAAGTTCAAAGATTTCCAAAAGTATATTAGGTACAGTGTTTCTTTTCTGGGTGTGTAGCAGTTTTCCAGGCTGAGAAAATGACTGATGAGTAGATTTATGAAGAGCAAATATCACTAAAGGAACATCAATAACTTTAGCTGTAGTCTTAATTTTTCAAGTAAGTATGCAAGTAACTAAGTAATGCTTCTTTTTCAAGGATTTACTCTACATGTGTAAAATGAGAGTTGGCCTAAATTCATTTCTAACCTCTTAATACAAAGGGAGATTCAGGATAGGATATGCATCCTCAATGAAATTTCTGAACCGTGAGAGAAAAGTGAAGCAAAATGCCAAGGTGAAACGGCATGTGAGGAAACAGTTCCTGATTTAGAATGTCAAAGGCGAAAGAAACTTCTCACTGCTATTCAAAGTTTATTCCTCTTTGTCCTGCCTAAAAATTAACACGAAAATGATCCTTTTCAGTGGGATCATGTAGAATCATGGAGTGTGGAGTTGAGTTTTCTGAGGTCAACTAGGGATCACTTCTCTACAGTTTTTTCATGGTGTCTAATTTTCTGCAAGCTTTCTGGAAAACAATTTGTGAGTACTTACGTTAATAAGTCCTAGAGAATGATCATTGAATTATTAAATATAAGGTAATCTATTCTAAGGCTGTAGGCCAACTATAAGTTAAAAATGCTTTGTGCATTAAGATATTTCTTACAAGTTTATTAATTAGAAAACAGTGAAGATATTCTTCTAGAATGATGATCAAATTAAGACATTCTCAGATGAACGAAAACTAAGATAATTTGTTGCCAGCAGACTTATCCTAGAATGGTTAATGGACATTCTATGAAATGGAGAAGAAAAAATGGAAAGAGTAAAAGTACGGCTAAATACAATAAAGTTTCCTTCTCTTTAATTTTTAACTTATGTCACTGTGCAGACATCAAAATAACAGTAAAAGGATACTAGGAATAACTCTACATACATACATTTGGTAATTTAGATGAAATGGATCTATTTCTAAAAAAACGCTACCACAACTTACCAAATCTGAAATACTATAATTACCCTGTAACTATTAATAAAATTTAATTTGTAACTTAAAAGCATGTAACATAGGAAAACCTACATGTACATGTGTTTTCAATGGGCAATTTTCTGAAACATTTGAAGAAGAATTCACACTAATCTAGTATAGATTCTTCCAGAAAAGAGAAAAAGAAGGAACACTACCCAATTCATTTTATGAAGCCAGTATTGCCCTAATATTAGAACCAGATAAAGATAGTAATAAGAAGATAACTACGGGTCAATATTCCTCGTGAATTAGGAGCAAAATTCTTAACAAGATATTAGCAAATACAATTCAGCAATATATAAAAAGAATTATACACCATAACCAAGTAGGGTTTATTCTAGAAATATTAAGCTTGTTTTGTATTTAAAATCCCAACACAACACAGTAACAAGCTAAAGAAGAAAAAAATTATATTAGTTGATGAAGAAAAAGTATTTTGCCAAATTAAACACCCATTTGAAATAAAATGGCTCAGAGTAATAGGAACAGAGGGGAACTGTCAAGTCTTAATAAAGAAGATCTGTTAAAAACTGAAATGTGACAATATACTTAGTGGCTAACGTCTAAATTCTTTCTTTCTAACTTTGGGAACAAGACAAAGAAGTCCACTATCACCATTCTTATTTAACACAGTGCTGGGAATTCTGGCTAATGAAATAAAGCCAAAAATAAATAAAAAGAAAAGAAAATAAGACATAGAGATCAGAATGGATAAATAAAACTTTCCTTTCTCTTTGTGGTTGACATGATTGTATATATAGAATATAGAAAATACCAAGGAATCTAAACAAACCCCTCCAGAATTTAATAAATGAGATGAGCAAGGTTGCAGTTGTATTTCTATATACTAGTAATGAACAGGTGGTTATTAAAATTAAAAAATATACTATTTATAAACACTTATTCTCTCCCTCCTTCTCTCTTTCCCTTCCTACATCCCTTCCTTGAAGTTGTTTCTCTCTTAAAAGAAGTAGTAAGATGTAAATCCAATAAAATATATACAGGAATGTATAATGAAAACTATAAAACACTGATGAAAAAAGAAAATTTAAATAAATGGAGATGCATACTGTGTTCACAGATTGGACAACTCAAAGTAGTAAAGATGTCATTTTTCTCCAAATCAAAAGCTGTTTAAGACAATTCCTATCAAATTCTTGGAAGACATTTTTACAGATGTAGACATAGAGATTATTTCAAAATTATATGGTAAGACAAACATTAGAACACTTAAAACAATCTTGTAAAAGTGGAATAAAGTGGGAGCAATCAGTCTCCCCAATTTTTACTCTTATATAGTTATAGTAATCAAGACTGTGTGGTATCAGTGGAGGGATAGACATATTGATGGAACAGAATAGACAACCCAGAAATAGACCTACGCAAATATGCACGACTAATTTTTGACAAAAGCACAAAAGCATTGCAGTGGAGGAATGATAGACTTTTCAACAAATGATACGAGAGCTGTTGGACATCCATAGAAATAAACTTCAACCTAAATTTTCTACCTTATGCAAAAGTTTACTAAAATAGATTATAGATTAACACGTAAAATGTGAAAATGTTAGAAAAATAAAACTGGAGAAAATCTTCAGCTGTAGGATTAGTCAAAGAGTTCTTAGACTTGACATGAGAATACTGTCAATACAAGGAAAAATTGATAAATTGGACTACTTCAAGATTGTGATATAAAGTTCTTGTTAAGATGATGAAATGACAAGCTAGAAACTCAGAGAAAATGTTTGCAAAGCATATACCCAAAGAGGTCTCAAATCCACAATACATAAATGTGTCAAAACGCTACAATTAAAATAATCATAAAATGGCAAGAAAACAGAATATATAGATGGCCAATAAGCAGATGAAAATATATTCAACATCATTAGGGAAATGGATACTAAAACTACAATGAGATATCACTACATATCTATCAGACTGCTAAAATTAAAATAGTAACTACACCAAATGCTGGTGAGGATTCAAGAAGACTGGATCATTCCTGGTGTGCATGTAAAATACTATAATCACTGCAAAACAATGTAGTAGTTTCTTGTAAAACTAAATATGCAGTTGTCATACATGCCAGCAAGCAGTTGCACTCCTGCATATGTATTCCAGATAAATTAAAACTGTTTTCACACAGAAACATACACTTAAATGTTCATTGTAACTTTATTCATCATAGCCAGTACCTGAGAACAACCCACTTGTTCTTCAGTATATTAAACAGAGTGTAGTACATCCATATCATGGAGTACTACTCAGCAATAAAAATGAGTAATCTGTTAATACACACAACTTGAATGAATCTCCAGAGGATTATGTGGAGTAGCAAAAGCTCGTCCCCAAAGGGACATATTCCATTTTGTTTAATCCCATTTATATTATCATTCTTGTAGTGACAAAGAAATGGAGAAGAAATTAGTGTTTTCCAGGGCTGAGGGTGGTGGTGAGAAAACAGGAGTGCTCTGGATGCAACTATGAAAGAACAAGAGGATTCCTTCTAGTGACACAATTGTTCTGTATCTTGGCTGTATTGATGCCAATATCCTGGCTGTGATATTGTACCACAGTTTTCCAGATGTTATTTGGGGAAAATGGGTAAAGTGAACACAGTACCCCTCTGTATCATTTCTCATAACTGCATATAAATCTACAGCTTTCTCAAGATAAAAAGTTTAAGAATTTTGGTTTTGCATACAAATTCTAAAGCAGCTGGAAGAAAATATACCCACGATTAATAATTATTTAAGTATTCCCTCTTGACGGCATTTGGCAGTAGTCTTCATTTTCAAAAACCTATTGACATAGCTAATACATTTTCAAATAGATTCTTTATTTTTAAAACAATACAAAACTTTTTTTTTTTTTTGAGAAAAAAGTCTCATTCTGTAACCTATGCTGGAGTACAGCTCACTGTAGCCTTGAGCTCCTGGGCCCTGGGCTCAGACGATTCTCCCACCTCAGCCTCCCAAGTAGCTGGAACCACAGGCACATGCCACCACACCTAGCTAATTTTCCTTATTTATTTATTGAGATGGAATGTCACTCTGTCTCCCAGGCTGGGGTGCAATGGCATGATCTCTTGGCTCACTGCAACCTCCGCCTCCTGGGTTCAAGCGATTCTCCTGCCTCAGCCTCCTGAGTAGCTGGGATTACAGGCACGTGCCACCATGCCCAGCTAATTTTTTGTATCTTTAGTAGAGAAGGGTTTTCACCATGTTGGCCAGGCTGGTCTGGATCTTTTGACCTTGTGATCTGCCCACCTCAGCCTCCCAAAGTGCTGGGATTATAGGCATGAGTCACCGTGCTGATTTTCCTTATTTTTTTTGTAGAAAAGAAGTCTCAAATTCCTGGGCTCAAGCAATACTCCCCACCCCAGCCCCCGCCTTGGCCTCCCACAGAGTTGGGATTGCAGGCATGAGCCACCATGTCTGGCCTCAAATAGATTCTTAAAAAGCAACTTGTATTTTAATTTAGTCAAATCAGGGACATCTGCTGCTTATGCAGTCACTTAGAACATCAATGCCAATTAAGAACATTTTGATTGAGAACTAATCTTCAATTTCGCAGTTCAGAAATTATGGTAGGGTTTTTTCCCCCCCTAGATTAGATTGAGATATAGGGGACACACACCAAATTTATAGAGAAAGATATTTTAAAAATTGTTGACCTAGTAATATTAGATGAGATAGATGCTTTAAAAGTAATTGTGAAGCAAGAGTGGTGGTGTGCACCTGTAGTCCCAACTACTTGGGAGGCTGAGGCAGGAGGATCACTTGACCCCAGGAGTTTCAGGCTGCAGTGAGCCATGATTACACCACTGGACAACAGAGCCAGACCTGACTCTAAAAAAACAAAAAAAAGTAACTCAGATTTTGGGGTTCACTAAGCAACTTACCTTTGTTTCAGAGTTTATGAATGCTATCAGTAGTTTTAAGGGTTTTTTTTTTTTTTTGGTGTGTGTGTGTGAACACGTTTAGTTTTATTGTAACAAAGCTTGTACACTTTCAATGTTTAAAACTGAGCATCATCTTTCCTTTCCAGTGAAACAAAGAGAAAATTTAAAAATAAACAAGAACATAATTACAATAGAGAATGTTAATACCAAGTAAGACCCTACAGGTTCTGCTGATTCTCCCACTGAGTGGCAGGGCCCAAGCCATCATTAGGGGAGGATTTATTTTGAAAGTGTCATCTTAAACTGCAAGGATGTCTGTCAGATATCACAATTAAACATGCCAAAGGAGAAATCATATTGTCAAAATGCCCACTTAACCCACTGAAACGTCTCAAACTCACCCCTTGCTGACCTTCTATAACCCCATTGTTTAAGTTTTTTTTTTCTTTTTTTAAACAAGAGAAAATAGACAGATACATGTTGGTATATGCTAACTGTCCATATTCACATAGAGACACAGTGTGCTCTCTGATCCCAATATACAGAGAAAGGAGGAAAAAACTAGAATTGTATGCACTACTACACAGGGACTTAGCACCCTCCAGATTCCAGTAGCGTGAAGGGAGCAGGTTTTTTCTTTTTTCCCACAGAGCTTGGGGGTGTTGATTCCATATAGTTCAGACAGGAAGGGATAAAAATGAATTTTGAACAGAAAGGGGTAGAGACTCTTTTCCTGTTCTATTCTGCTCAAGGTATTTTCTCCAAAATAAGTTGAGAATCATGGTGTAGAGAAAAGAGACCTCAAGAACAGGGTGACTGAGGACAAGATTAAAAAAAAAAAAAAAGACTGCAGCTTGCTCCCAAGGACTGGAGAACATTTTAAAAAAGGAAGGTCGGAATCCATCAGTGTTCTATTAGTCATCTTCTCCTTCATCCTCCTCTCTTTCCTCCCCTTCATCATCTTCATCTTCTTCACCTTCATCCTTATCCCCTACTTCATCAGTATCTTCTAATCCTTCCTCCTTTGCGTCATCATCGTCATCATCATCATCATCTTTTTCTCCTTTTCCTTCTTCATCATCCATATCAGGAACCAAGTAGTACTGTAATGGTTTTGGCCAAATATTGTCTTTGATGAACTCTCCTAACTCATCCACACCTGCATCAGAATAGTCAGCAAATCAGGTAAAGAAGCTCTCTGGACCACCTCCTGCTGTGGGACCCAAGGAGACATCTGCTCCTGCAGGCTTGCCTAAAAAGGGACAAGAAGAACAGTAAGAAGCAATTGAACACAGTGATGAAGTACAAAATGAAATAGACTTAATGTGAGGAGATTTTGAAAGTCGAATAGAAATGTAACAAACTCCGCCAACCACTTTTTCAGAAGAGGTCAGAACTGATCGCCAACATCCCAAATTTGGGGGTAACAACATTTCTCAACCATCCACCAGTGTTCGCACTGCTTGGGGAGAAGGACGAAGATGCACTGCATTATTTGACCAGAGTTGAAGTGACAGAATTTGAAGATATTAAATCAGGTTACAGGATAGATTTTTATTTTGATGAAAATCCTTACTTTGAAAATAAAATTATTCCCAAAGAATTTCATCCTAATGAGCGTGGTGATCCATCTTCAAAGTCCACCGAAATCAAATGGAAATCTGGAATGGATTTGACGAAACATTAAAGTCAAACGCAGAATAAAGCCAGCAGGAAGAGGCAACATGAGGAACCAGAGAGCTTCTTTAAGTTTTTTTTTTTTTTTTTTTTTTTAAAGGAGCGTGGATTTAACACTGTAAAAGTGGCATGATTTTAGTAGATACGTAATCTTGATAAAGAAAATGTCTTATGAACCATTCCTGCCTAAAAAGTTCTAATATTCCTATAATTTGAAAGTTTGCGCTCTTAAACTAGTGTTTGTTTCTTCCCACCACTGCTAAGTTAGTACTGATTAATGCATATTAGTAAGATTAGTAATAATGTTTGCTTTTACTAGGCATGATGTCAAAAATGCTTTTTTCCAATATGATTTCTCTTGAGGTTTTTCTTGTGTTTCTTCAGTATATCCTGTTTTTCATAATTCAAAAACTTGTCACGTTGCTTGTGTTTGGATATTCCCTGACTCTTCATCAAAAAAGCATTTGCAAACTATGTCTTAGTTATATTTATTTCTTCTACTAACTAATGCTATTCATTATATGCTTGTATTTTACTTTGACATGCCCTCTTTATCAGCTTGAGAGCTGTCCAATTATAGACAATTCTCATCCTAAAAAATTCAGACTCTAGACTTGGAAAGGACCTCAATATTATAGTTTAATCTTTAGTCTTTTCTTTAGCATCCCTAATTCACCTTTCCCTTGAAGGTCTTCAGAAGATGAAACTGATCTTGTAAGATAGCTCATTTCGTATTTGGACGGGTCTCTCCATTAGAAAATTCTTTTTTATATTGAGTTTAGAATCTGTCTACCAATTTGTAACCCATGGAAGCTCACAAAGCCGATCCAATCACTTTTCTACATCGTGTGCCTTTGAATATTATACCCTGGGCTGCTTCTATTTCCAGAGCTTGTATTTCCATTTTCCCCCAATTGTTTTTCCTATTGCATTACTTGGTTTTGAATTCTTATTTATTAACAAACCTGAATTTGTCTATATCCCTCTTAAATGTAGAATACTGAACTGAATGTACTATACCAGATGAGTTCTGACTTTTCATATTATATTTTAGTCAGAAATTTCTTAGCCATTGCCCAGTACAGGAATGCATCCGCCACATCCTTGTTTGCTATTTTATACTTGAAAAGTGCAATTGTGTCAAAATATTTTCAGTGTATTAAGATTTGGTGCTGTTCTGTCTTCTAGACTCCTATAAATAATTTGTATACAAGGTAGCAGGGGAAAAAAAATCACTCTTTAGTGACAATTTTTTTTTTCTAACCTGACTTAATCTCCATTGAGAGTACTATAAAGATTACTTTTTTTTTTTAAAGCCCCAGTATATGTCTGGCAAAATCTTAAAATCAATCATTTAATTTAAATTGGATTTCAAAAGAAGGTCGCTAGATGAAATCCCTTGCTGTAGTTAGTGAATGAAGGTTTATGTTAAAGGAGGGAAAGCCAACCACTTTTATGTTTTTAACGGGCTAAATTGGGAACTTGTCAGTGCTCACAATCCAGTTCTTCAAAATTATAAAACTAAACTTGAAAGCACCCTGGTCACCTCTGACCCACTGTGGAACACGGTGCCCCCCATTGAAGAGGAAAGGGGTGCAGTTCTTTTCAAGTAGAGCCACCTGCAGTCACAGGTGTTCTCCGCAAGCCTTGGCGCTTCAGAGAGCTATGGTATTTTTGCTTCTGCCAGCCATTGTGATGACAGTACCTCTGAAGTTCCTGGGCCATATTCAAACCTTGTCTCTCAAAAGCCACATTAGAAATATATATGCCACCCCCAATTTCTCAAAAATGGTGTTCTTTTTCCTGTTTTAATAAGATAATCAACCTTCAAATAGGTCTTTTCTTATGAAGTGTTTATGGATTATGAGAAACAAATGTAGACCTTTTGTTTATGAACATGGACAAAATTTTATTCACAAGAACATATTTATCTTCAACTACTTAGTACTCTTTCAACTTTAAAAGAGATACTTTTCAGTTTATTTTAAAACTATTGCCAAAGACTAGCAAGTGTCTGTAAAAGGATTTTTAAAATACTTCACTGATTAACATGCTGTATCAAAGGTCAAGGGGTTGTATCCTTGGATGATGATAGGGAGAGTTGCTGACTTAGTACTGCTATTGCTCTAGGGTAAAACTCAAAATTTGAACCAGTGGGCCAGACATGTAGCATCATGTAGCATCATAATAGTTGGAAAAGTAAGATAATTTGGAGAAGACTTTATACTTCAGAGCAATACTAATTTTTGTGTAATCCATTATTTTCTTGACACTTTCACATGTTTCTGTGCCTATTGCATTATTTCCTCACATTTGTATCTTTATTGATTTTAAATACCTTTTTACTCTTTTTTCCTCATTTATCCCTCTTGTAACTGGCTGTGAATAAATTTCAATCACGTTTTTATGTTAGTAACAAGTCTGAGTGCCAAATTTGAGCTCTACGAGACTCTATTGTGAGCAATTTATATGTTTACAATCTCTAACGTCTGCACTAAAATGTTCTAATACTGCAATTCTTTCCAAAGTAGGTTTGACCATTAGCAACCAACAATATTAACAGTGAAACACTTTGTAAAGGTATAAATCAAAAGAGAAAATTTGTGAATAAGTGGGCTCTAGAAAAGGCAATTGCCATAAAGTCCATGAGCTGCTTGTGACAACATCCAAAGCTTTATTAACTTCACTAATATATCAATAACAAGCAAAATAACAAAAGAAAGCAAAAAAGCAAAAACAAACAAAAACCAAAAAAAAACCCCCAAAATCCTAGGGAGCAAACATTAGAAAATAAGATTTTAGAAGTACAGAAATATATTACCTGTAATCATTGGTATATTTTCCGTGTCTGAGAGTAAAATCTGACTTTAAAGTTTTTTTTGGCTTTGAGCTGTGTTTTTGAGGGTGAAGAGACAGACAGATGTAGACCAATGTTCCAGTCCTTCATTTGTTTGCCCAGGTGATTTTGGAAAATCACTTAATATCTGTTTCAGTTTCCTCATTAGTAATTAGAGGATAATAACTCCTTGAAGGGGTTGAGGATATGTCATCCCAAAATTGGCCACGTAGGCATATTACTGGTTTTGAGTTTTCAGTAAAAGGCACTTGAAAAACAGGCACAAGAAGGACACTTTCATTCCCCTTTTTTCTTCCTGAAAGCAGATGTAACTCCTAAGAGCTGCCCTCCTTATGCCAGGAGGAAAGAAATGTTCTTATCACCAGAGGTGGGACTAGAGGATTCTGTACAAACAGACCTTGTTAAAAATAACTCTACTCTTCCTTTAGTGTCTCCATTCGTTTTAGTTACTTTTCCATATTTGTGATTCTTCGTTCAACCCAGCCTATAAGCATTCAGGTTTTGCTACTTCTTTGAGTCAACGTTTCCTTATGAAGGCTCTTATATTACATAAATTTGTATGCTTTTCTCCTGTTAATCCGTCTTATGTCAATCTAACTCTCAGACTCAGCTGGATACCCTAAACAGGTAAAAGTAAAGATTTTGACTACCCTCTACCCTACCAAAAGTGTAGTGAGAAAATTAAATATGATTATATGGATAAAGCACTGGACACATTATGGATTCCCAATAAAGGATAGTTTTCTCTTTTTTATCCCAGCATGCAGACTGCCAGCAGCCAAAGGGGAGAGGAAATCATCTTAAGGAGTTAACAGATATATCATAACTGACAGTTATTATCTCATGTATGTATTGTTTGGGGGTCATTGAATAATGTTGTGGGAAGTGTTCACAATGACAGTTCTACATGTCAGTGAAATAGCAAATATCACAAACGTATTCCGTGACCTTTAGTGAAGGTTGAAAGAGGTTTTGAAAATGTAATTTAGGAGGGCTTTTCTGAAAAGGAGAAAGATAGTGTTGCACAAATAAGCGGCTTTCCTAAATGCCTGATTTAATCAAGTAATAACATTCAGAATTTATATTTCTTAAATAAAATACTTCTCAAGAAGGGTTTTCAATGGAAGAAGCACCGTGGATTTAACTAGATGGTGCCTCCCCTTTCTTTCCTTGTGCAAAGTACTGACATATGGCATAGCTCATAAGCAGAGATGACAGGGGAGGAGGTGGTAGGGTTGAGGTTACAAATTCCTTCTTATTGGAAATCAGTGGTTTAGCATAGGAAAGTTGAACACTGACCCAGAAAACCCTTGATAGTTATATGAATAGTGACATGCTGACAAAGAGAACATCAGTTTCAGTGAGTATCCAGTTTAGTGACTTTCAACAACATGAATTTTGGTAAAAGTGGATTTAGTCCTAAGGACTTGTGGGGTTAATACACAGTTAATCTTAGATGAACAGGAGCATAACATTTCTTGTGTAAATCTGGCTCTTCTTATCTGTGATCTTCATTTATCTATACTTTTTATGCTGTCCTACGATAAAATTTAGAAAATAATAACAAATACAAAAAAGTAATAAATGATAAAAATTCTAACATAAAAGTTGAATTAAAATAAAACTTAAGTGTTGGGAAATTCAATTAGAAAAGAGTTAAGAAAAAAGAATTAAATTGTTACCAATTGCATAATGGATGACATTTTAGACTTGACTAAGGTCAAATAAAACGATTTTTAAACTGGGAAACATTTTGACAAAATTACATAAATAAGGTAATATTATGCAAAAGAAATTAAAGATAAAATACACAAATTTCAAATAATTAAAATAATATGACAAGACGAATAGTTAGCAGAATTAATTGCCATATTTATTTATTTATTTTTTGTTTTTGTTTTTATTTGTTTTTGAGATGGAATCTTGCTCTGTCGCCAGGCTGGAGTGCAGTGGCTCAATCTTGGCTCACTGTAACCTCTGACTCCCGAGTTCAAGTGATTCTCCTGCCTCAGCCTCCCAAGTAGCTGGGATTACAGGTGTGCGCCACCAAGCCCAGCTAATTTTTGTAGTTTTAGTAGAGATGGGGTTTCACCATGTGGGCCAGGATGGTCCTGATCTCCTGACCTCATGATCCACCCACCTTGGCCTCCCAAAGTGCTGGGATTACAGGTGTGAGCCACCACTCCTGGCCTGCCATATTTATTTTTTAAATAAACTTTATGAAGAGGTAAACAATAGTTTTTCCCCCATTTTTAGACAGCAATGACTATCAGTTCTAAAAAGAAACTTTTTTGAATAAAATAACAAGGCACTGTGAATTTTAAATCATTTTGTGAGGTCTAAACAACTTTTTCTTTTCTGTGCATGATTGACCAAAATGAAGTGAATAAAACCATAAATGGCAATATGGTGTAGCCTGCAGAACAATATGTGTCATTCATTTCTTCAGTTTACAAATATTTACCGTATGGTTTCTAAGCACCAGGCCAGCTGCTAGGCTCTGGGAATACAGCAACAACTAAATAAACGTGACATCTGTACATCTACAGCATAGATTTATTATATTGAGGAAGATTGATAATCAATTTAAAAATGCTACATAATAGCACATAACTTAAAGTAAATAATAATAAACCACGAAATGATCATAGTGTCACATAAATGCTAAGCAAAACATAACCAAAAGTGATATGGTTGGCAGAGTAACTGGGTGTCCAGAGAAGTCCTCTAAGAGATCATATTTGCGTGAAATCTAATTGACATTTGGCTAGGGTCTGACTCAAGGGAAGAGAATTCTAGGCAGAGAGTATAGCTGGTAAGAAATACCTATGTCTGAAATGAGCTTGTCTGTGCTTCAAGAACAGAAAAAAGGGCACTATAGCTGGTGCTTAGTGGGCAGTAGTTGAAATATTAGACTGGATCAGATTATACTGGACCTGTAACCAGGACTGTGGACTGGATTTTATTCCAAGTGAAATCAGACTGTGTTAAATAGCGCAGGGTCTTCCTGCCTGGGCAGGATTTTGACCTGAACATAAATCATTATTCTCAGTCTGGCCATACACTGTACATTTGCAAATGGGCATGGACTTTGATGACAATGTATAGCACCTGGTGCATGGTTTTAGCAATTCCTCCGTGTCATTATATATGAAGAAAAACCCTAAAAGATTCCATGGAACTTTAAAAAGTATATAACAGTTGAAAGAAGGCTCATTTTTAAAGCATAGACTGAATTCTCTAAATTTCATCAGATATCTTGATGTTTTGGGGAGCATAGACTTTTATTTCCTAGAGTGTGCATCACTAGCATTGTAAACGCAAGGTTTCTTCTAGTATTTTGTTTTGTTTTTTATAAACACATCAGTTTGCCTTTTACTCCAGAATATATTTGTTTTTATTTTACCATAGAATATCTGTGTAAATTGCTGGCAAGAAGCAGATATATGTAGTAGTTAACAGCTTTGATCCTGCAATAAGAGACCTGAATTCATTGGCCAGCTGTGTGGGCATATGAATGTTACATACTAACAGTGGTAAAATGAGAATTTTAATTGCAGGGGTCTGCAAAGGATATTGCTTGTGGGCCAAGTGTGAGTGCTGCCTGTTTTTGTAAATAATGTTTTATTGAAATATAGCCATGCCCATTCCTTTACACATCGCCTATGTCCTCTTTCTCCCTACCACAACTGAGTTGAGCCATGCAACGCTGAGACCTTACATGGCCACGAAATCTAAAATGTTTTTTTCTAGCTCTGTACAAAAAAGTGTGCCAATCTCTATTATTATGTGCACCTTTGAGGGTTATTGAGGGAATTACATGAAATAATTCATGCAAAGCACTCAGTACAAGGCCTGCCATTTATTTAGTAAGCATTCAATATATATTTGTAAGTATTAGAATTTTTACACATTCATTTTTTACTGTCAAACAATCAGGTCAAATTGACTGTCATAAATATGCACTGTTATGTGCGTTTCCATGTATCTTTAGAGGTAAAGCACCCAAGCTTGAGAAGTATTTGTTTAAGTAGCCATATTTTGGTGACACTTGGCCATTTCTGCATTAATAACATGCCTGGATGTTGGAACTTCTATTTTGGCCACTAGTTTATCCTTAATTCGGATATTATAAATTATATATATGTAAAAGTTTTTGGTTATATTAGAGCAATATGGGTAGATTGTTAAATTAATCATTGCAGAACCCTTTGAAAGTCTAGGCAGCAATGTGCAAATGCAAAATTTATAACTGGAGCAAACAAAAAGAAGCTGATGATTCCTTAAGGATATTGATGTTTTTTTGGTTTCTTCCTTTTGTTGTCATCACCAGAGATTTATATTACATTTGGGGAAATTTTCAATATTTAATCATAAGCATTTTTATTCCAATGTAGGCCATACATTCACCAATATGAGCTTACTCTCACTAGAGGCTGGCCATATTTTTTTTTGATTTAAAAAAAATTGAGGCATATGTTTGCATGAATGCCCATGTGTGTTAAAACTTCTAATAAACAATACGGAAAGATGATCAGTGAAGAATTTAATGATTTTACTTCTTATGGTGTTAAACATGTTATGAAAGGTCTCTAAAGAGAAATTGTAAGCTGTGGGGGGAAAGGAAGAAAAGAAGAGGAAAATCTATTATTTGAACATTTCAGTTAAATAATTTCTTACTTAAGTTTTCCTCATGAAAATACCACTTTTGTAGGTTTCCAAAAAGTATCATAATCATTGCTTATGTGCCTTTATTTTAGTGAAGTAAAGAGTTTTGTTGTTCTTAATTTCCAGTTCCATTTCCAACGACTATGAAAACATTATTTAACTTTATATATTACTTTTCAATTTGTTTATTTTTACTGCTTCAGAGTTAATGTTGTATTTAAAAGATAAATTAATCCCAGCAATTTGGGAGACCGAGGTGGGCAGATTGCTTCAGTCCAGGAGTTCAAGACCAGGCTAGGAAACATGACAAAACCCTGCCTCTACACAAAATACAAAAATTAGCCTGGCGTCGTGGTGCACTCCTGTCATCCCAGCTACTTGGGGGCTGAGGTGAGAGGATAACTTGAGCCCAGGAGGTCCAGGATGTAGTGAGATGAGATGGTGCCACTGCATATCAGCCTGGGCAAGAAAGTGAGACCCTTTCTCAAAAAAAAAAAAAAAAAAAGAAAGAAAGAAAAGAAAAGTTAATATTTTATGTGAATGTCTTAGCTTTCTATGTACATTATTAATTTAGTTCAGGTCAGTTTGTTTGAAACTAATATAAAGAAAAGGCACAAGATACGGTTCTTAACGTTTAGACAATAATTTATGATTATGTTGGGAAAACAGGACTTACTTGCATGAACCAGTTTGTCTCTTATTGTCTCTCACATGGCATTCATATAAAAAATAAGAAGATTTTGTGAACCTTGAGCTGGGCTATCAATTGAGATTGTGGGATTCGGTGCTGGTTGAATTTGGTTTTATAATATTTTTGAGTGTGGATGTCATTTTTTTCAGGCCATTACTCTATCATTTTCTAAGGCACATTTAATGTCATAAACTTTTGTGTCTGTATTCTAGTAGAATATAGTAAAATCATTCAAATTAGTCTGTATGCTAAAACTCAGAAATGTTAGCCTTGAATTAATTTTTCAGTTTAAATTTAAATTTATAGGCTGGGCATGGTGGCTCATGCCTGTAATCCCAGCACTTTGGGAGGCCGAGGTGGGTGGATCACTTGAGGTCAGAAGTTCAATACCAGCCTGGCCAACATGGTGAAACCCCATCTCTACTAAAAATACAAAAAATTAGCTGGGCGTGGTGGTGGGTGCCTGTAATCCCAGCTACTTGGGAGGCTGAGGCAAGAGAATTGCTTGAACCTGGGAGGCAGAGGTTGCAGGCAAGATTGCGCCACTGCACTCCAGCCTGGGTGACAGAGAGAGACTGTCTCAAAATAAAATAAAATAAATTTAAATTTATAAAAATATATAAGATGGAGATCAAATAATCTGGTACCCTCTTTTCAAAAATTATCACACTGATTTTCAGAGAGATTATCTGTTTATATACTGATTTTTCAAAATTGGCTAGAACATAATTTTCTTGACTTCTAATTCAGTGTTATTTCATTATATATTACAAATGCTTAATTTTCATTAAGTGAAGTATGACATAACTTTCTCATGAAATTCATCAAGTCAGAGTACCTGATATCTTTATTTTTGCAAAATCGTATATAAATATGTATATTTAATGAATTATAAGCAATTCCTAGGATTGCTTGACAGGCTTTTACATTTGCTTCTGCAATCAAGATTTAAGAAGGAAGAGAGGCTAACAAAGAGGAAAGGGAGAGAGGAGAAGAGGTTAGAAGAGGAAAATGGAAGGAAAGAGAATAAGAGACCATATGGATAGCTAGTTTAGGAATAGAGGAGCCATAGGGAGTAAGGAGGAAAGGAATGCATTCTCCAGGCAGAGAGTAAGCAGAGTCTGGGCTGAAGACGACAAGAATTGGGGCATGAGTCAGCCAAGAAAAGATGAGATTTGGTGCAGAAGGAGTATCGAGTGAGAAGTTTCTAGATATGTGTGCTGCTGGAAAGACTGTCTCAAAAGTATTTTCTTTGAATAGAAAAATTCTGGAGAAATGTGATTAAAACAAGAAAGAATAGTTAAGCATTATGTAGGGAGTCAGTCACACAAAATTAACACATAAAGAAAAATGTCCTCTTCTTATTTCTTCATCCTCTCTTCCTTTTATTTCTGAATGTTTCTGTCCCTCTGAAACTTGTATGTTGGAATTCTGATCTCTAAGGTGATCATATTAGGAAGTGGGGCCTTTGGGAGGGCTCCACGCTCTGAATGGGATTAGCGCTCTTAGAAAAGGGACCCCAGAGAGCTCCCTCACACTCTTTCTACCATGTGAAGATACAGTGAGAAGTGGGCACTTTGCAACTCGTAAGAGGACCCTCATCAGAATCTGACCATGCTGGCACCCTGATTTTGGACTTCCATCCTCCAGAACTATGAGGAATAAATTTTTGTTGTTTATAACCTACTCTGTCTATGGCAATTTGATATAGGAGCTTAAACTAAGACAAATGGTTAATTTAATAGATACCTTTCCACAAAATCTGATTTTGTTGACCATGTTGAATCTATCTTTAAAGGAAGTCCTATGTTAACGACTACACTAGTGAACTGATAGTATGTAATAAAAATATATTCCTGCTGTGCCTGTCAAAAGTGGATTGAGGGCTTTTCGGAACTAATGTAAGATGATTTCCAATAACTTTGAATGAGTGTTATATTGTCCAATTTATCCTGTGGGTTTCAACTTTCACTCTCACTTTCTGAGAAGCTTAGCTTCACTTCCTCAGAATAGATTAACTGTTTCTCTCTCAATACAGTCTCATACTCCCATATTTATTCTTTGTGTTATTAATCACTATTGTAATTAAATGTGTTTGTGTTAGTAGTTGTAAAATGTCTGTTTCTCCTGTTAGACCCTAAACTCCACACAAAGTGATACTTTGTATTTGCTGTTCATAGCTGTGTCCCTAGCACCTGGCATTGTGCCTGGTACAAAGCAGGTAGTTAAGAAATGCATATTGAATGTACAAATAGGTAAATAAAATAAAACTCTAGGAAAAATAAATGCTGAATTTAAAAAAGGGATTATTTAGCTTTGATGTTAGCTTAAACATGCTTATCTTTATGATTTATTTCAGTATGAGAAAATCACAACTAATAGAACACATTGATATATTACAGCCATAAATGTAATTTATATGTAATATTTAAACAAATATTCAAAATTTGTTTATTATTTAATAGGAACTCTCATGGATTGGCAGTATACCAAGCACTGCCATCACGTTATACCCATTCCATTTAATCCCCATTCAGGAGGGTGCAGAAATTATCTTCCATTTTACGTTGTGGAAAACTGAAACTTAGAGAAGATTAATACAGCTAGTATGACCACATATTAAAATTATAGATATGTGGGAATTACAGGGTTTTAAAAGATGTTGTACCAGGACAATTGCCAAAAACAAGAAATAATTTTTAATGTAGTCATGCTGAATGTGGAGTATAAAATTGCAGTTAAGAGGTGAGGTTTTTAGATTCAGAAGGTTGAGCTGCACCTGTACCTATTACCTGAGTGATCCAGGACATGGTTTTTTAACTTTTCTAAGCCTCAGTTTCCCAAACCATAAAATATCATTTCACAGCCTTATTAAATGAGGCTGTGTAACAGGTGGAGTCTGGAAGCTAGTAGACACTTGATGACTTTGAATTCCTTTTTCTTTTCTATATAATATCACATTTCCCCTTTCTATTCTGCTCCACTCCAGTCAGCCCATTGAAAGCTAGCTCCTTTTGCTTGTGGGAATGTATCCAAATATAATTAGAAACATATATATTATTTAGCAAAGCTAGTGCAAATTCAAATACCATTGATGAGTGATGTTCGAAATTTAAATATAATCAATAGCAGACCCTATATATTTTCCTTGATTTCCCACTCCTAGAACACACACACACGCATGCATGTGCACACACACCATTCATTTTTTGAAGAACTAGGTGCCTCTATATTTTCACCTTTCCCTACCTCAATTGCTGTACAGCTAGTTTTTCCCAGTTCATCTCCTCTCTAAAATGCTTATCCATTTTTTGGTCTCCAAGTACATTGTTGCATCTTTAAAATAACTTCTGTAGTATTATCCTAAATATCTGCATCTTTATATACATTATAGTAGTGTTTTCCTTGAATATTGTCCTAAAATATTGTTCTGAGGTGATAGTGAAGGAAAATCCTGTTGTAGTATATTTAAAGTCAGTAGTCTGTAAAATAATTGTTTCAGACTGGAATAAAAATCAGTTCCCAGATACTTTATGTTTGTATAAGATCTTTATTCTAATTTATTTTTTATGCTGATTAGAGCCAAGCACCATGGCTCAGGCCTATAATCCCAGCACTTTGGGAGGCTGATACTGTTTAGATGTATGTATCTCTGTAAGTTGCCTCAAGTCATCATTTAAAATAAAACTGGCTAAATATAAGTAAATAAATACATACACATAATTATAAATTTAAGTGAGATAATGGGAAATTATCAAATCGAGGGGTGTATTTTTTCAATCATAAAATTATTATAATAGCTTATTTAGTCATTTATTTATTTATTTATTTATTTGTTTTTGAGACGGAGTCTCACTCTGTCACCAGGCTGGAGTGCATTGGCACAATCGCGGCTCACTGCAACCTCCACCTCCCAGGTTCAAGCAATTCTCCTGCCTCAGCCTCCCAAGTAGCTGAGACTACAGGCATGCACCACCATGCCCAGATAAATTTTGTATATGGGGTTTCACAATGTTGGCCAGGATGATCTTGATCTCTTGACCTCGTGATCCACCCGCCTTGGCCTCCCAAAGTGCTGGGATTACAGGCATGAGCCACTGCACCCAGCCAATCGCTTATCTAAATATGATAGTTAATCTATTAGAAATAAATCAGAAGGGAAAAATGAAAAAGGAGTATATGAATTGTTAATGTTTCCAAACTTTTACCTTTAAAATAAGCTCTTTAAAGCTGATTACCAATTATGGTATTAATATGACATTTGTCATGATGTATATTACCTATGTTCAAGTCACTGCCACTTGATTTGAACTAGTCATTAGCTTTATTTTATAGATAAGGTAGAATTTTTTAAACTTGTTTGAAAAACATGGGTGTGTGTGTATATACCTATGTCTGTATATATGTACAGTCATGTACCACATGACATTTTAACAAGCTACCACATATAAGATGGTGATCTCATAAGATGATAATACTGTGTTTTACTGTACCTTTTCTGTTTAGATATACAAATACTTACCCTTGCATTACAATTGCCTCCAGTATTCAGTACAGTAACATGCTATACAGGTTTGTAGCCTAGGAGCAATATGCTGTATACCATATAGCCTAGGTGTGTAGTAGTAGGCTCTCCCATCTAAGTTTACATAGGTGTGCTCTATTAGAGTGGGTTATTTTTTCTTTTACACTTGTCTTTTTCCATCCTATCCGACTAATAGCCTTCACTTTTGTTCTCACTGCTGTCCACTGTCAATTCCTACACACACACACACGCACACAAGCACACACACACACTTTATGTACATACACTCACAGTCACAGACACTTCAGGTTTGCCTTTTGTGAATCTTACGTGGCAGATAACCAATTTTTAAGAATGCAGGTTAAATTAGAGAAGAACATGACTTGGAAATTTCTCAAGTATTTTATTTTTTAGTAAAAGTCTAATTGGAATCATTTAGCCTTAAAAGCACCATATCATCCTTTTCTACTTATTTCCTAGAGAATACCTGATTGGAATTACATATAATACAAATAGAGTTAATTTTAATAAAGTATTTAATATGCTAAGTACAATTTAGGCCTTATGGGAAGAAAATGCTTTATTTTGTTAATGGATATAGATAACTGGAGCTCAGTGGATATAATCTGATTAAACAATATATTAATTTACATAAAATAAAGTTGCACAGAATAAAATCCAGAAAATTATGTGATATTGAAAAGAAAACTTCAAAACCATAATTTATAATTACCTACATTCTGAAATTTCTATTATTACAAATTTTTAGTAGTTGAATGAACAATTTATCTCACTAGTTTTGTGCTACTCATTATTTAACAGTATTTGAAATTAATATATACAATAGCCTCTATATAATTCTCGTGTCTAAAATCCAGATACACTTTATTATTGATGATACTGTTATCTACTACTAGATATGAATTACTACTTTTCAATCATTTCAAGTTTTCTCTTAATTCCAATTGGCTGAGTTTGTAATGTAACTTATACAAATTATGAGCAAAACATAATATTTTTAATTGTTGGTTAATTTAATTAAAATTGATTAATTCTTTTAATTTTAAAAAATAAACCAGGTAGTTTGATGTTACCTGTTATTATATTAAACATTGACATTTTAGAATACCTTTGTAAAAATGTCATTTTTATTATAATTTAAGACTTTTTTGGCATTCTATACCTTTCTCATTTTTCCTCACAATCTACTGCCTCGATTGAAATACATAGATCAAAACATGAGGTTTTTGATTCGTGGTTTTATGATGTACTGTTTAATACCCATTCAGCCTAAAAGCCTATGGAATATCTAAGAGGAACATCATTTTTTCCTTTATATTTTTTTGATATTTAGCCATTGCTTAGTAATGTCTCTTATTTATTAATATACAATATTAGTAGGTTTAGTAACATCCAGTGAACTAAGTTGCAAATTTTGAAAATCTCAGAGGTATTTTTGGACCACAAATAAATAGAACATTAGGCAAATAAGCTTGGATTACAAAATGTAATGTCATTAAATAAATGTCATTATATTTGATTATAGTTGCTCACTGAGAAAATTTGTCTATGTTTCATTATAAAGATTATTGGCAGAATGTAAGACAATCAACAGTTTTTGATTTTAGGGATATTTCCTAAAAACCTTAATATTGGAATTATCTGTGTGTGACAAAATTTCCTTAATAAATCCTCATTACTTGATTACAGGTTGAATATTTCAGACATCTAAGCCAATTAGAATCATGATTGTTTTGATTGCCAGAAATCCTTAAATGTATGTATTATCCATCGATGTATTCAGTTTCTATATTAGGCACCTTTGACTTAAACATTTTTTTAGTGGTTTATGATTCAAAAGAAAGTCAACTGCATTTCATTATTTTTTTTCTGGATATTACAGATTTTGTTTTGCTCCAAAAAATAAATTGGGAGTGTGCTAATCAATTGACTATGCACAGTGTGAATAGCACAGTGCTAGTTTCTAATATATGTGTTAATTACTTTAAGATATAAAGCTAAGAGCTAAAATGGGCTACTTCTTAAACACATTCATTGTGACCAATGAGATATATATATATATATATATATATTTTGAGATATATATATATATTTGAGATATATATATATTTTTGAGATATATATATATATTTGACATCACCATCTAAAAGTTAGCATCTAGCTCCTCCAATTGTTCAGAAATTAGGCTTCTGGACAGTAAGTGGTTTGTAAAGACAGGCTATAAAAGCTGTAAGCCAATGGAGTAATCTAAGTCCTGGCTTGTCTGTTGGAACGCACCAAAATAAAACTGTGTCTTAAATTCTGCTGTATATTTTTATGAGATTCTAATCAACTGGATATATCAACTGTGTTATGGGCTGTTTGATGCCATTTTGAGGTAGAAAAAGTAAATTGCCTTTTTTATTGTACTTTTTACCAGACATTGTTATACTCTGACTCAAGGCAAACCATTCAGTTGAGGTGATTCAGTTCATTTACTACTAGAGAGAACATTGAACAATATTTCTAATTCAGTCACAATCTGGAATAATTCATAACTCCTCTTTCTCTCAACACCCCAAAAAAGGAAAAATGGAATTTATGAGCTTTGAATTTGGAAATTATGAGAGTAGAAATAATATTGAACATCTTTCAGAAATCAGTATTTTCACTGGTGACGTATTCTTTAAGCTTGCTCTATTTCAAAGACAAATCTTAGATTCAGTGATCTAGTTCATTCCTGTATGAGATTATTGTTTTCATTCTCCATGTGACTGCTGGAGGGTAGGGTGCAGAACAGGGTACCTCTGCTGGATGTCCTTACATACTTGGATCTTTAATGTATATTTGAGAATCTTCCACTTGATTTTGAGGTCTGGGTATCTGTGACACAAAATGATTAGGGAAGAAGTTTTTTCTCCAGTAATGTGTCCTAAGTATTTTATAATTATATCCAAAAAGGTTGTGCTTTTGTGCAGAAAATTTAACATAGCATAACTAAGACTACTATCCTTAGAAACTGACAATTCATTTTTTCTTATGCAACAAAGGCTAGTTATTTATAAAATGTTACCCTTATAAGACTAGTTATTTTTTGCATAACTGATACAAATAATCTAGTTTTAGAAAATCGACTTAGCGGGGAGAGATAGCATTTGGAGATATACCTAATGTTAAATGATGAGTTACTGGGTGCAGCACACCAACATGGTGCATGTATACATATGTAACTAACTTGCACGTTGTGCACATGTACCCTAAAACTTAAAGTATAATAAAAAAAAAAGAAAATTGACTTAGCCAGAGAATTAATACTTTTAACTTTTGCTTTGCACTTGCTGCTACTAATTTTAAATTTTATATTTGGCTTTTTCCTAGATCCATTTCCTGATATTTGGTTAAAAAATAAAATTTCTAAATTTTTATTCTTTACTATTTTGTCCTACATAGTTTACTCTCATAAAATTTTGTCTATTGTGTTTCATTAATGATTCATAAAATATAAAAGAAATTAAAAGCACTAGAAATTTGACTTATCACTTTAATCTTGTAGTAGTTTTTAAAAGACTTTATGATTTTCAGACAATGTGTAAGAGTATTTCAGAGATCTGAAGAATAGAATACAGTTTCTAACTCATGAGAACTTTTTAATTAGGTGCTCCATTGTCACTATTGTTTCTTTTCTGATTATCACAGGAATTTTTTTGTTGTTCATACATGCTAAGAATCTGTCTACTAACATAGTTATTCCCAAATGTGTCTTTTTATTTTAATATTTTAAACACAGTTTATTTCCTGTTTTGGTCAAGAGTAGAATAGATTAAATATTGTAGTAAAAGGAATCAACAGGACTTGCATTACCTTTGACTTTAGTGAAACCTGCTGTGACACTGGGCAATTCTTTCTATTCAGTGATCAGGTTCACATCCTTTCCCTCTTCTGTGTTTCACTGAATTGCAATATAATTCACTTATCTTTCCCTTTACTTAGAAGAGTATATTCTTTTCAAAAAATTAATTTCAAAGGATTATTTGTATGCAATTTTATTCAAGTCTTCTTTCTGAAATTCTCATATAGCAAACTTGTTACAAAATATCGATATATGCTTGGGGACAGGGAACTCTCTGTATCTTCCTTTCAATTTTTCTGTGAATCTAAAACTCTGAAAAATAAAATTTATTAATTATAAGAAAACTATAAACAATATGGTAATGAAAATTCCTATGCAAAATAGAGTGATTTTGATTTTATACAGTTCTATTATATCTCCTTGTTTCTATTCATTTCTTCTGTTAAACAGGATTTCCCCCTTAAACCGTATGAACATGGAATTATAGAATCATAAGCAAATACTACCTTCAAGGTTGCTTAACCTTAAAATCTTGAACCTCCTGTCTCCCTTTTATATCTATTAGATTGCTTGGATTTCTTTTCTTTTTTTTTTTTTTAACTTAGTAAATTTTCGAAACTCAAAGTAACTTATTTAAAACAGTTAATTACTAACAACACTCATCTTTCCCCAAAGTTTGGATTTACAATTCTGAAGTTAATTTTGATGACTTAATCTTCATTTATGTCAGATTATTCTTTAATATATGGAAGGTTTTAAAAATACATGAATTTCGACTGGGGTAAAGATTTGTGTACACTATTACGGAGCTTTGTCATTAAACTAAATGAGGTATTAAAGTCTTAAAACCACAGTTATAATAAGATAGAGAACTCAACCATAACTATATGACTAAAGAAAATACTAATTGATGATGCCTTTATTTCAACTGTCCAAAACAGACTTGTTTCGTGTGGTGTTTTTAATTGAGTTACACAGTTTCTTTGTTTTCCCTCTCTTTTTATGGATGTAGGACTCTTAAACTCATAAAACTTTGTACTTTATTACACATGTGGTTTTTGGTAATTAGGTTTTCTTTTTTTACCTTCACGAAACAACAGTCTAGTCAATGTAATATTGCTTACCATGTGGTTGATTTTCTGTTTTTATCTTTTACTTTTTATTCTGAATCATATCTATTTGAAATTGTAGCATGAGGAAATATTTTAAACAAAAAGTCATTGAAAGTACTTTTTCTACTGATAATGAAAATGCATTTTCTGAAAGGAGAAAAATCACATAATTATGGTTATATTACATGAAAATCCTTTTTAAAAATTCAGGGACTGGTAATAGATTTTATTCCTTTGCTTTTTTCGAGCACTACTATGTAGTAATCACTTTTCCGGTTGCTGAGAACACAGCATTGAATAAGGCAGGGTCTCTGGTTTTGGAATTCATGTTAAAAAATGTTTTCCCTAAATTTTCTTAGATATTAAGTGACTTTGTGGACTATAAAAATTAATAATTTTCCTTTTAGAATGAGTTTCATCAACCAACTGAGATTCTTGTTAGTTTTGTGACTTTTATATATGTTATGTTTCTTGAACATTATGATTCTTGAGATAGAGCCCTATAATTTTAGTTAATAGCAAACATTTATAACAGTTAAGGAAAATGCTCTTCACATTTTGCTTAAATACATATTTCTCTTATATTTTAGCTGGGAAATTTTAAGATTCCTTCTGTCAAACATAAGATGGTGGTTGGAAGAATATCGCTTTGATGGATTTCGTTTTGATGGTGTTACGTCCATGCTTTATCATCACCATGGAGTGGGTAGGTAACCTGATATAATCAGGTTTGGGGTTAATTGCAGAAGCTGCAATAGCCATTACTGGTGTCTTGGTTTTTATTAGTTCCATTACATATGCTTTCTCTGTAGTAATTTATTATCCCATTTTGGCAAAAGGTAGATTATAAGTACATTTTATAAGTAAACAAAAGGTAATCATTTCCTTTGAAATATATCTGCTGAATATGCTATAATTCGTGTGTAGCTTAAAATTTTTTTGAGGAAACCATTTATTGTAACACTCTCAGGATGTGAACACTACAGCACTTCCAATGAAAATAAAAAATAATAGATGAGAACAGTTGTGAATGCATAGGTTTTTACATATTACACATTGAATAAAATATGTATTTTAATTGCAGATTTACCTGGTTAAAATTAAATTATAAATTAATTTGAAATTAAAAATATTTATCAGACTCTCAGCTTAAAAGTTGTACAAAGAAGTAGAATCACAGAATACTAATCCCTCAATAGATGACATGGGAACAATTATTATTATTATTATTATTATTATTATTGTTCTTGAGACAGAGTCTTGTTCTGTTGCCCAGGCTGGAGCGCAGTGGTGTGAACTCAGATCACTGCAAACTCCATCTCTTGGGTTCAAGCAATTCTCCTGCCTCAGCCTCCCGAGTAGCTGGGATTACAGGTGCCCATCATCACACCTGGCTAATTTTTGTATTTTTTTAATAGAGACGGGGTTTCACCCTGTTGGCTAGGTTGGTCTCAAACTCCTGACCTCAGGTGATCTGCCCGCCTTGGCCTCCCAAAGTGCTGGGATTGCAGGAGTGAGCCACCACACCCAGCCAATTATTATTATTTTTTAATGGCCAAATGTTCACTAGCAATAAACAGAAAAAAAGAAAAAAACAAAGGGGGTGAAAAACGTGACTGTAAATCTTGAAAAGTGACTGCCAAGGAAAGAAGCTAAACATTCAAAGTGTGCTACTGCTTGATCTTACTCATGATGCTGCCCACTTGAAATGTTCCTGGGAAAGAAGTTGAATCTGTAAAACACAACAGATTTTATTGATATCCATTTTCCAGTTTCGGGGAAGCTGACTTACGGTATGCAAAGGCAAAAGTTAAGAAAAATCTTTTCCTAGATTTAAACACCTACGTGCCCCTGCAGAAACTACCTCACCGAGAGAGGAGTATCTTCCAAGAATTTGTGGTATTAGAGAAATGAACCAAAGTTTATGGATATGGGATGTGCTTTTTATAGATACAGAATCCAAGAAATGGTTAAAGAAAAACATTCTGAGTTGTTTAACATTTTTTTCTTCCTTGGAATGACAGAGAAAGCAACAAACAAAATCCCTGAAACCGCACAGCAGAAGATCAAATAGAATACCAGAAAAGTTGAGATTTAAGGCAGTTAATATCAAGACACAGTATTTGATTTATAAACTCAGTAATAAAGGGAAATTTATCAGGAGGTCATGAATTTACCTGCAATTTACTTGCATGCATGAAAAAAAAATGGTTGGACTCATAGTATTCTATTTACAGAAGCAATGTCTGCCAAATTCTTACAAAGTGTGACTCAAACATTTGCTAGTTGAATGATGGTTGCCAGGGGCTGAGGAGTGGAGGAAATGGAGAGATGTTGGTCAAAGGGCGCACTTTTGTTTTAAGGTGCATAAGCTAGGCGGAATCTAATGTAACTATAGTTAATAATATTACTTGGTATTTGATGAGAGCCAACTTTAAGTATCCTAAACACACACACACGCGCGCACACACACATACACATGTGGTAACTATGGGTGGTGACAGTTGTGTCAATTTGAGTATAGTAATCAGTACACAATGTATGCCAATATCAAATCAGTACCTTGGAAACCTTGAATATATGCAATTTTTATTTGTCAATTAAATATTTTAAAATTAAAGAACGACAGCATCAAAAATGAGAAACTTGGTAGTTATATTGCTGCTGAAATATAAACATGAAAGAACTTGAAGTATAAGACTTCCATAATTATACTTGAAAATATCCCTCAGTGATAGAATCCAGCAAACTGAGAAAAAAAAATCAATAGAACTTAGATGTAGAGAAATGGTAAAAGGCTGATATTGAGCACAAATTTGATTTTATTATAACAATAAGAGTAAATTACTGAAAGAATAGAAAGTAAATGGTATAACCCAAGTAAGTGAAATATACTATAACCAACCAAAGTTAGGATGTGAGAGAAGAGGAGGTAGGAGGAAGTTTGAGAATATATAATCTCTTTATCATAGGGAACTCCATATTGCATAAATTGAAGTGTGTGTTTGAAATAATATATAAATATTATGTCTCAGTTTTATGATGGTTTTCCTATTTTCTTTTCCTTACCTCAGAGGGATCTAATACAAACTAACATTAACATCTTAATGTGACAGAAAATGTATTGACAATTATTTGATATTTAGAATTCCCTTTAGTATGATTTCACTTTTTGCCATATAATTTAGCTAAAATTAAATTAAATCTTTAAAGTGCTTTGTTTTTCTCATGCGTGTGCATTTGTCAAACAAAATTGATTTGCAGAATTGTCTGAACTCTGAATGTTGACATGTAGTACTTTTCTAAGTCAGTATATTTGCTGATGCTTATGTTATTAAACTGCTACAATAACAAAATTCATATAAACAAACTAATTGGTGAATGTATTTGTGCAGAGTTAAGACTTGCTTGTTAACATAATATATCCGTATTGATTTTCTTTTTCTAAGGTCAAGGTTTCTCAGGTGATTACAGTGAATATTTCGGACTACAAGTAGATGAAGATGCCTTGACTTACCTCATGTTGGCAAATCATTTGGTTCACACGCTGTGTCCCGATTCTATAACAATAGCTGAGGTAAAGCCATAGTGAAGTCTTACCTTCTGACCCCCTTTAATAGAGAGTATTTTGTCAGCATACAGTATTTGATTAATCAATCTCATGTTGTCAATAATTGCGTAAATGAAATTCTACCCTGAGTATAGTGCAGCTATCTTGTATGGGTGGCACATTATTTAGAATTCACTGTTTCCCTATTAGAAGATAATGTATACTAATTACTTGTCACCATTCTGTTGTTAAAAAAGAAAATGCCAGTGGTTGGAGAGTTAAATGTCCTAATCAGTGGACAGGCCCTTCGCTATGAGACCTTCAGCAGAGAAAAGAATTGAATATTAATGTGTGTCTGTCCATTTATTATTATTTTTTTCTTTTTTGGCTCAATCATTAAAGATAGGATGGATTGCTGCCTGCAAGCTTCTCTGAAGCCTTTCTTGTTCTGATGTGATTACCTTTCTTGTTTATGTTATTGCTCTCAGATTGCCAAATGTTCACTAGTTATTCATGATTGTTGAAGGTTCATGATTAACTGTCCCAAAGCTGCACTGTAATGATATAATTCCATATATGCATAATTGACAATTCCCCTCTTGGTGATAAATGTGATAAATTAAGAAGTTTGTTAAATGCTTATGCTAATTTAGATTTAGTGCTAAAATCCCTCTGGTTTTCTAAGTTCTCTAACTAGGAATTATTATTAAAATTGAATTTAGCATGTTAAAACTGTTCTATACAAAGTATAGTGGTTGAGATATAAAAATAGTAAGACTACTGTTAAAAATAGTTAGAATTAAGGTGTGTTTTTACATTGTTGGTGTTTAGCTTATTGGCATGAAATGGAATAGTCTCCTTCCTGTAGTATTTATTTTTTGTATAGACTGTTTTTATATCCACCATTTCTCAAAATCAGAAATCTCCAATTTTATAAATGGTATGATTTCACCGCTTGGATAGAGGAGAATAGTTTTATTCCCTTCAGGCATTTTACTTTTTAAGTATTTTCTGGGAATAAAGCAGTAGCCCTAAATTCCTGAAATTCGTTCTTATATACAATTAAAAAACAAACAACCTACCATACAATTTAGACACCCAGTATTTTTTCACAGTCATGACCTACCTACGTTTGATCATAGCACATCTTACTAATACTTGTGCTAATATTTTTTGTGCTGAATATCTTTAACATCAATCAGAGTGTATTTTAAACTTTTGCCTTATGTATATTTGAATTTTATATGTCAAACATCAAAAAATTAATTATTTTGTCAATGATATTTATGGCAATCCAAAGCAGAGATATTACAAATGACAAATTACTACAAACAATTAATGACAGCACAAATCAAAAGTGAGTACTGAAGAAAAAGAAGCAATGATTTAATACATGAAAGTTAAAATTGTTACATTGATCTTTCCATTCATTTCAAGTAAAATAGTTTCATCATCTAGGGAGCTCTGGTCTGATTATCAGTGTTTCTACCAATGAAACTTTGAGACTTTAGCCTACTTTATATTACTTGGTTTTAGATTTTTTTTTTTTTTAAAAAAAGATGTGCCTTCAATTTATTCCACTTAAATTGAAAACTACTTCAATTTCAATACGTCACTTTTCTGTCTAGCGGGAGTCTCTTCCAAATGTAGAATTGATCCCCATGAACTTTTTTTTTTTTAAGAAAAGGAATGTATTTGAACGAATAAGCAATGTAATTTTATTTAAATTCCTTTAGTAGAAATATGAATTTATTTATAATGACAATTACAAAAATTGCAACCTTATTTTGCTCAAGTTTATCTACCATTTTACATTATTATATTTGCTATATTAATTAAAACATTTTTGATTGATGTATCTTTCCCTCTGGAATGGTTATAAGTGCTCTTTAGATAGTAAAAAATTAGAACTATTTTAATTTCATCCCAAACACAGAATCATTTTCATATGCCATATGAATAGGCATCAATTGTTTTATATTTAGAGTATGTTTATTTTGATGACCTTTATGATTTACCTTTTTTTTCTTAAAAATTTTAAAAGAACAGTCACAAACTTTCCACCTTCAAAAGGAGGGCTGAAACAACTCATATGCATTAATGAGGCAACTTTCTAGAAGTCAGATTTAGGAGTCAAGACTATATGATTGTTACCAAATCACCAGGGGTTTAGTCTAGGTCCTGCTGCTTGCTGCACAGAAAGCCAATCACGGAGACAATGATTATTGCCGTAGAAGAAGGCTTTGATCAGTCTCAAATCCATCTCTCTTACCAACTAAAATTAGAGGTTTATATAGTAAGAAATAAATGTAACAATGTGTAAGAAAACAGAACTAGAGAGGGGTAAGGAAGCAATCATGAGGAATGACCGGTCTGGCATCTCATTGCATGCCATGATTTGGTGAGCTTCAGTTCTTTGATACTTTTTTTTGAGAAGACTTGAGGGACAAATGTAGGTTTCAAGCTTTTCAAAAGGATTCAATTCTATGTTTATCCAAAAAAATATGTCTATGGGATGTTTGGGTTTCATGATTACCATATGTTTTTCTTAGCAGATTCTATTTCCTAAAACAACATTGGGACTGGATACAGAACATGCCTTAATATTTTCTTGAGAAAATTCATCTTGATCTTTAATACCAGTCCATCACCAGTCATTCTTGACAGTTTGGTCTTTCAAAACTCTTTTCAGAAGGCATTGTGTCTGTAATTCTAGTTCCTAATATGGTGCCTGATATTTAATGCATATTTATCCAATCCTGTCTGTGGAAATATGACTTATATTTTGATAAATAGAATGATTGAAATGGCTTCTTTTCTACTGATCTTTTTTCTACTTTATAAACCATGAAGAACTATGCAGAAATAAGATTACTGGCAAACATTTTATTTTCTTATGGATGTATTCTACCATATAATATATTTACTTATACCTTCCTTCCATAAGAAAAAAAAAAAAAGAAGCATTTGACCTGAGTCTTAGAGAGCCTATGGTATGTGATAGTCTTTTATAGGAAGTAAGGGTCATAATCTAAGGAAGACTTTGGGCATTGACAGATGCAGAAAAGCTCGTAACAAGTACATGCAAGAGGGAATATTTCAAAGTGGCCGAAGTACTTAGTAATTAAAATGAAATAGTAGGAAATAATGGTGGAAAGATGTCTTTCCATTTCACTTTCTGTGCACTTTAGTTAATGATCACAACTACATCACATGGTCATTTCATAATTATGTTTGTGTGTATTTAGGTCCTAGTTTATTAATCTTTGAAAGTCAGATATTATGTCTTATCTTTTAATCCCTCAGAGCACCTCACTCATTCACTCAACAGATACTGAATAACCTGCTTGTGCCAAGTATTATTAAACTAGTCTAGATTCTTAGGGTATATCGGTGAACAACAACTATAAACTCTTGCCCTCATGGATCTTACACTATAACAGGGAGTAGGGGAGTAGCTAATTGGATAGTAAATCATATAGTAAATGCTTAATGTGTAATTGTTGAATCGAATCTTAAGCTAAGGAATTTGAATTTTCTATTGTTGGCTATTGAAATCCATTGAAGGGCAGTAATAGGAGCGGACTGTCTCATAAGATATGAATTTGGCAGCAGTTAGTATAAAGAGAAGGTAGAGATGGGGAATGCCATTTGGATATGGTCTAGGCAAGCAGTAATGAAGATTAAATAAGATTGTGGTTGTGGTAATGGAGCAAAGGAAAGTAACTTATTTGAAAGATATTGTGGAATTAGAATTGATAATACTTAGCACATATTTTCCTAAAGTTGTCTTAATATCTTTTGTTACATCTGGGTCCCTGTACCTATCTTTGAAACCCATTTTTAAATTACTTTTATTTATTTGATTAATTATTGGATACTTATTGTCTAGAGTAGAAAGGACCCCCTGTCAAAAAGCTTGATATCTGAATCCGGCTCTACCATTAAGAATCCTCTCTCTCGACTGGGTGTGGTGGCTTGTGCCTGTTGTCGCAGCACTTTGGGAGGCCGAGATGGGAGTTCGGACTCCCGTCTCGAACGGTCAGGAGTTCGAGAACAGCCTGGCCAACATGATGAAACCCCATCTCTATCAAAAATATAAAAAATATTAGCTGAGAATGGTGGTGGACATCTGTAATCCCAGCTATTCGGGAGGCTGAGGCAGGAGAATTGCTTGAACCTGGGAGGCAGAGGTTGCAGTGAGCTGATATCATGCCACTGTAAACCAGCCTGGGCAACAAGGGTGAAACTCTGTGTCAAAAAAAAAAAAAAATTCTCTATCTTGAGAGATCCCTTCACCTCAATAAACCTCTGTTTCTATATCTGCTAAATGAAGATAATCCCTACCTAATCTCAAAAACCCCTTCTAAGTGTAACCTACTCTAGTAAAAGCTATTGTACTGTTTCACTGTTAATGTACTAACTCTACATTCCATTTCATCAAAAGCTAGTGTTCACAAAAATACACTCCCTATCAGGGCTACATACAGAAAGAACAACTATAACAGATTTATGCCACATGTATTGTTGTGCTTGGTGAAAGCAACAAAACTAATAAAAAATGTTTTACAGTAGTTCAAAAATAAGAAACTATGTTTTAGCAATAACAGTTTTGCTATTTTGTGTTCTCTAGGAGATACTGAAGAAAAGAAATAAATAGCTTCATGAGATCAAAGTTTGCCTGGAGTGAAAACATTAAGCAAAAATCTTTCTGGGAAATGAGATATGCTATCACAATTTTATCGACTTTTATGTTACCAAAGCAGCCCAAAAATATATTCCCCTATTATTGTTTTCATTTATTGACCTGGGCTTTACAGTCAGAATATTTACTAAAAGTTTGATCATTATGAACCGACGTTCTTTGTTGTAGGATGTATCAGGAATGCCAGCTCTGTGCTCTCCAATTTCCCAGGGAGGGGGTGGTTTTGACTATCGACTAGCCATGGCAATTCCAGATAAGTGGATTCAGGTAAGAGTCCATGTAAATATTTTTTGTTTCTGTGAATACTGTGTTGCTTCATTTATCTTTAATTTATTTCTTAGTTGTAATCATTAGTTACAGATATTATAATTGAAGTATTAAATTCTTTCATTAGTCTGTCGATTCTTATGCTTTTTAATAAGGTGCTTCTCAAAATATTAAAAGTTCTGATTTAAAGTATTCATACGTATTCAGGCAAAGGGAAAATATGATTAATATCATGTTAGCTGTATAAATGGAATTTTGCATTATCAATGCAATTATATGAAACTTCAGTGCTCTATATTTAATACATATTAGACTTCATTACAGCATTCATTTATGCCTACAGATCATGCATTAATGTAAAAGTTACTCCTTAATTCCCAGTACTTGCTTAATAGTATGGTTTTTCCTCAACAAATTTGGATTGGATTCATCCATTCCTTTATTCAACATTAAAAAGTCCTTACCATTTGTCAGACACTAGGAATGAATAACTGTACATGGTACTTTGCACATCATTTATCAATAAAATTTTATTAACTTTAATGACAGTTCAAGTAGTTTGGTGTTTTTTGTTTTTTTTTCATTTAATGTTTGCCTAAAGGACTAAAGTCATTATGTAGACTTAGGTTTGATATAGAACATTTCTTTGCAGCCATGTCGACATTCATGGGCTGAATATATATAAGGAGTCAGATATATATACAAATAATCATAGCTTTCTGATGAGCCCTTTATTTCAGACATGAACTGGTGCCATGAGACCACAGTTGTAGAAGGGCTTAATTTTGGGTAGAAAAACTGTAGCGCCTACTCTTAAGGAAGTGGTTACTATAATCATTTCTTAGCTGTCTTTCCTGTCCCCCTGGGCAATTTGTGCAATGCATAGCTGTGACATTAAACTTGGACCAACATAACTTCTGCTTCTACATTTATAATAATTCCTTAAACATTATCAGGTCAAAAAGCAAGTATTTTATAAAGATTTTTACTTAGAAAACATAAAAACAAAGGAATATTCTCCTTTAATACATGGGAACGTAGCCTTGTATTTGTTACTTTAAAAAAAATGCTGTAGTTTTCAATTTTCTCACCTTGGTATAAGGTTCCTCATCAGCCCCATCTCTTACTATTTCTAGTTTTTTCATGTAGACTTTTTTCCCTCACAAGTGACAAATCTTACTTTTTAACCTCCTGCTAAAAGCCTTAATCATTCTTTGTTCACATTCAATAATGTTTTAAGGTGTACGTCAACCTAGAATTATTTTTCAGTCAGTAATAGCACAAAGTGAGGTATTTTCTCTCTGAGTATTCATGGCAGCTTAAAAAATTGAAATTTAACCTAATAAACATTTTATTACATTGTATGATGAAGGTAATGCATTAGGCAATGTATCATACTTACTTATTATACATGATAACTATAATAATCATAGTTATCAAATAGAAAAATATTTTATCCTAAATTTAGGATATGACCATCCTGTTTTAGATTGTAAATTCTCTGAAAGCAGTTATCATCTTCTATTTTATGTAATTATTTAAAATTCTTATTGTATCACCAAACTGGGTCCCCCCTTAGTTAATAAAACTAAAGTTAAAATAGTATTACAATAAAACCCTTAGACATAGTGATTTTCCTCTACTTTTGTAACTGGTGCATTTAAAAACAATTCAATAAGTGGCTCCCATTCTCCCTATATGTCAATAAAACACACAAGAGTTATTAAATCAGATGACAACTGTACTCAGAATGTATATGGCCTGTGATGTTGTCTACCCATACAGTATGAGTTAAATTAGAATGCTAGATTTTATTCATGTTTTTGTTGTTCAAAAGCAAATTATGTATCATTTCCTAGTTGTATTATTTCAATATCATTAGTTTTGAATATCATTCTTAGTTTAATCAATTACTGAACAAATATTTGACTATCTAAATTATGCCAAATTTGCTGTATTTCCTTTCATTTTATTTGATCATTTTTGAAGTGTTTATGTTAAGGTAATGTATGTGTCTAATGAACTCATTCATTGATCTGTTAATTCCACCAAATATTTATTGAGCACCTAGTATTTTTAATAAATATAGTTTTTCTAATTAAACATTTTTGAGATATTAGGATAATTGTAGATTCACATGCAGCTGTAAGAAATAATACAGTGAGATCTGGTATGCTCATTCATCAGTTTTCCCCAGTGGTAGCTTCTTGCAAAGGTATAGAACAATCTTTTAACCAAGATACTCACATTGATATACTCAAGGTGCAAAACACGTTCATTGCCACAAGATTCCCTCATGTTGCCTTTAGAGTAACGCCTACTTATTTTCATCTTGCTTGCTTCTAATAATGCCTTAACCGCTGGCAACCACGAATGAGATCTCCATTCCTATAATTTCGTCATTTCAAAAATATTATATAAATGGAATCATGCAGTTTGTGACCTTTCTGGATTGGCATTTTCAGTTAGCAAAATTTTCTCGAGATTTATCCAAGAAAACCTCCAATGTTGTTATATCCAGCATTCTTGTTGCATATATCAACAGCGCATTCAACAGCACTGAATAGGATTCCAAGGCAGGGGTATACCACAGTTTAACCATTCACCCATTGAAAAACATCCAGGTTGCTTCCAGCTTATGGCTATTATGAATAAAGTTACTGTATACATGTGTGTACTCATTTTTTATCAACATAAGTTTTCATAACTATGAGATAAATGCTCAAACACTACAATTACTGAACCATACAGTAATTCCCTGTTTAATTTTTTAAGAAACTGCTAAACTGTTTTCCAAAGTAGCTGTAACATTTTACATTCTGACTAGTGATGTTTGAGAGACCTGCCTCTATACATCCTCACCAGCATTTGGTGTTGTCACTATGTTTTATTTTAGCTATTATAATCAGTGTGTAGTGACATCTCATTGTGGTTTTATTATTTTTCAAATGGTTTATGATGCTGGATACCAAACATGTGCTTATTTGCCTCCTGCATATCCTCTTTGGTGAGGTATCTGTTCATATCTTTTAACCATTTCTTGATTGCATTGTTTATTTACTGTGGAGTTTTGAGGGTTCTTTATATATTTTAGATTCAACTTCTTTGCCGGATACATGGTTGACAATTTTTTTCTCCTAGTCTGATGCTTGTTCTTTCATCCTCTTCACATTGGCTTTTCACAGAGCAATTTTTTAAAAATTTTGATGAAGCTAGTTTATCATTTTTTCCCTTGTATAGGTCTCTCTTTTGGTATCAAGTTTAAGAAATTTTTGACTCTCTTATGGTTTTTACTAAATGTTTTATAGTTTTTATTTTTTATATTTAAGCCCATGATCCATTTTGAGTTAAGTTCTGTGCAATATATAAGACTTAGCTCAAGGTTCTTTATCGTTCTCTTTTTACCCATGGGTATCCAATTCTTTAAGCATCATTTGTTGAAACATCCGCCCACCTTCCATTGAATTTCTGTTGCCCTTTTATCAAAAATTAGTCTGGCCCATTTGTGTAGGTCTATACATTAGTTTCCTATTATTCCCATATCCAATTTACCACAAGCTTAGTGGCTTAAACAGCACAAATTCACAACAGTTCTATGTGTTACAAAAATGAAATGGGTTTTACTGGGACTAAAATCAAAGTGTAAACAGGGCTGCATTTCTTCTGGAGGCTGTAAGGGAGAAGCCATTTCCTTGCCTTTTCTCACTTCTAAAAGCTGCCTATATTCCTTGGCTCATTGCTCCTTCCTCTATCCTCAAAGCAGCAGTATAGCATCTTCAAATCTTTCTCTTATTTTGACACTCATGCCTGCTTTTTAGAAAGATGCTCGTGGATTAGGTTGTGAACATCTATGGATGGTTGCTCTTCTGCCTTCCACGTTCTGCCCTCTGGTGCCCAAAGATTCGCACTGCAATGATCAGAACTGCTTATGTTCTCATAATTGTATGACAGTGTGTTGAATTAAAGAGGGAGAGTAAATTTAGGACATAATCCTGAGGAACACCAGCCTTTATAGGACAAACAGAGGAAGAGAATTTATAGTATGTCGGGAGTGGCGGGAAGAAACAAAACAATATAAAGCAAGAGTTTCACAGTGGTAGATTAATAAAGGGAAAAGTTCAGGGGCAGGAGATAGGATCAGCAGTGTCAATATGTATAGCAAGTATCTACTTAAGGGAGAGCAATTACTAACTTAAGCTCACACCACAAGCTTAACCTCAGCAAGTTCAGTTGCATAAAAGTATAGTGTTAGAGGGACAGAGCCAGACTGAACACCGACTAGAAATTGAAATGCAGACACAAAATGTGTGGTCTGTTAAGAGGGTAATTATTTGATGATAATTAACTTTAAATTTTGAAACAGTTGTTTTATCACTTTGTAAAAATGAAGCGAAACACTCTTTTTACTAATTTTTTTCATATAAACAAATAAATATAACAAGTGTATCTCTACCATGTACAAGTTATAGGAAGACATGCCGTGCAATAACATTACTGTGGGCATTAATCAAGAGGTGGCAGTTATTACAGAAAAATAGTTGCAAAGATCCTAAAATATAATGATTAAACTGTCTGCACAAAAGCAAACACCACACACACACACACAAACACACTCTACACCACTGTCATTTGGACATTCTGTATAAAAGCTGTGATTTCAGTAAAAGTTTAAACAGTGATAACTTTGCTATATGGGTGGACTAATATGTGCTTATCAAATAGTTTGCACTGATATAATGCATAACTTCAGATTGTGATTTAAAAATAAGAAAAATAATGCTTTACTCAGAAGCTTATTTTTCTCTCTTGTGTCTAGCTACTTAAAGAGTTTAAAGATGAAGACTGGAACATGGGCGATATAGTATACACGCTCACAAACAGGCGCTACCTTGAAAAGTGCATTGCTTATGCAGAGAGCCATGATCAGGTAAATGAATATGTGCATAAATTCATTTATTTCTCTCTCTCTCTCTTCCTCCTTCCCTCTCCTTAATAACATATTTAAATATAAACATATCGAAATATAAACCTCTGTAGTTACTATAATGTGTGTATGTGTGTGTGTGTATTAATATATATCTTTACAGGAAAACTACGTATATTGGAAAAAATGTTAAATTTGTAGATGGAGAAACTCCAGTTTCAAAATGCAGTAGTATGTTTGTCCTGCCAAACTATAATTAATAGATTATACATTGCAGTTGCAAGTATTATATGTTTTCCCTTGTCATAATGAAGAAAATTGGTGCTGGACCAGGTTTATTTTAGTTTCCGTCTTAGGCTGCCTTCTAGAGGTATTCTTTTATGCTTTTGACAAGCATTCTTCAGTTTTTCCCCTCAGTCACTGAAATCTCCTGCTAATTGACCTCCCTGACCCCTGTTCCATCCAGCCTTAGTCTGTCTTCTCGAATACAGCCTAAGTTATTTTCTAAAGAGGAAAGCTCGTCTTGTCAACCCAGATATACTGGTCGAAGCCTGTAATTCAAAGCCACTCCTATTTTGGCTCAAGCCGGTTTCCAGCATTATTCTCTGCCCAACTCTCCAAGCCTCCTGTTCTTCAATACTTTGAAATCCCTACCCATTCCAAATAGGTCAGCTTTTTCCAATCTTGTGCTTTTCCCCACGCATCTGCATCTGGGAAGTTCCTACTCAGACCTAATTGTCTGGCTCTGACACATTCTATATAAAGCCTTCCTTGGGTCATGTAGGGAAAAATTAGTTGTCCCATCCTCCAAGTTTCCATTATGTTTTAGGAACAGAATTTTTTTTTCATTGTCTTTCTATTTCCAGCCTTTAGCACTGTGACTGATCCTAGTAATCACTTAATAAATATTTTTAAAATGGAGAAAAAAGGTCACTTATTTAAGGTCATATTAATCCTCATACACATCAACATAAAATTTACTTTTTGTAGATTAAAATGTAGACAATAAAATGTTTGAAGTTACTTAAAGTATCTTTATTAAAAAATTGAAACTAAATAAGTTTCTCTATCATTTTTGCAGAAATTGGCCATTTAACGCAAACATGATTTTTTCAGGTGTCTCCTCTAATTGTTAAGAAAATGTAAGTAAAGCAGGGGTTGGGTAATCAAGGCCCATGGGCCAAATCCTACCTGCTGCCTGTTTTTGTAAATAAGGTTACTTGGAACACAGCCATGCTGATTTGTTTACGTATTCTCCTTTGTGCCAAAATGATGCATTTGAGTAGCTGAGACAGAGAAAGTGGCCCACCCTTAGAGAAACTTGATGACCTCTGAAGTAAACTCATGTTAAATTTTGCATCTTCCAAATTGGGGCTGTGCTTTCTTATCAACTTCAATTTACATTATCCTTGTCTGTAGAGCAGATAAGATAAATACTTATCTAAAAAAGAAGAACCCAATCTAGAAAAGAATAATATTTGTTTAATAGGTGAGTGGTGGGGGTGGGGAGGGGGAAACTCTTACCAAATACATAACAATTTGGAAATTAAAATATATGCATAAATTATAGCTTTCTATTGCAAACTCCTTGAAGTTGCAGCACATAGTGAATTCCCAGCATATGTTTATTTTATATGAATGAAAGAGTAAACAAATAAGTGGCATGAACAAATGGAAGATGAAAAAGATAGATTTCTTACGTAAATTTCTACCTAATCTGTAAAGAAAAAGATTTACCAAGAATTATTTCATACTTTAAAAATTCAGGCAATCCTATCTTATATATTCAGGAATTCTCAGGATAGCAGAAATAATGCAAGTTGCCTAGTTCTTTCTAAAAGCAAATGTACTTTGATTCTTAAGCCTGATAAAAAATATAAATGTATATGAATACATAAAAATGAATAAATAAACATATAATTTATAGTAAAAATGTGGATGTTATTTTAAACTTTTTAGATAAATCCTTAACAATTAAATTTGTAAACTTAACTTAATTTCACCAGTATCTCAACAGGATTTTATAAGAGGGCAACTTGGTATGAGAATAAGCTTTATCTATGAACCTGATCCAAAGTTATTAAAATAATTTTATAATAGAATCAGAGATTGTAGAAATAAATAATTATAGCTAAAAACATAATTAAAGAATTCAAAACAAGTAGAGAAGGTGAGTTGTTTAAGAAGTAATGATATAAATCCTATAACAATTTTTAAAGAAAGATCATTTTAATTAAAGTAGGTTAAAGATAGAAAAGATTGTAAACAAATTTCTTTTCTAGAAAATGAAAAGAATTGTAATAGGGTACTGAGATTATGGATTAATTTCTATTTTACATTTTACTCTATGTTATTGTTTTGTCCATGATGAACACTGCATTAGCTGTTTTGAACTGTAAATAATTCAGATTTTTAGGAGGTCTCTCTGCTGTTACTCAGGGCATTTCTGAGTTACCTGCCTCAGTTAATAATTATTATATTTTCAGGTAAAACAAACTAAATTTAGATTAAATGGCAAATACAATGAGAAAGCAAATTTACACTTAAATAAATGTTCTCAACTTATTTTCTCTGCTGAGGGCAGGAAGGAACTATTGTGATATATTTATACACATATTATATTACTCATATATATGAGCAAAATAATATATATATATTATATATCAATGATTTTTCAGAAACTTCTTTCAAAGCAAATAAAATCATTATATACAATCTATTTTAAAAATCTATTTAATATTCTCAACATTATAATAAATGTTTCAGAAAATGTGAGGTGTCAGCTCACATATAACAGATATTCAGGTACCTTATCATGAATCTTTCACCAACCTATTTTAAAAATAAAAATCAGTCCAGTCCTGAAAACAAATGTGTTGAAGTCTAACATATTTTACCAGCTTGCCTTGAGCCTAGAAAATCACCAGTGGAAAATACCTGAAATTAATATTAATCTACACACCTCTTCTACGATGTTTCCTAACATTTGTAACCATGCATTGTTCTATTGTAAATCACAACTACTTAGCACTTTTTTTTTTCATTTATCTCCATTACTTTTATTTCTGTAGGCATTGGTTGGGGATAAGTCGCTGGCATTTTGGTTGATGGATGCCGAAATGTATACAAACATGAGTGTCCTGACTCCTTTTACTCCAGTTATTGATCGTGGAATACAGCTTCATAAAATGATTCGACTCATTACGCATGGGCTTGGTGGAGAAGGCTATCTCAATTTCATGGGTAAGTGTGAGTTAAACACATATGCAATTTGTGTTTAAAATGTTAACTTATAATGACATAAATCATGTAGAATATTTTGATTTGGCTTTTCAGATTTAGAATATAAAATTACAACTATTTATTTCATATACTGTCGTGTAAATTGCAAGAATAAAATTAAATCACTGTAAGGTTATTATATTAATATATGATACAAAAGTATAGTCTAAAAGCTGATATTTAATTGAATATTGCTGTCAAGCGGGCTTACCTGTTTTTAACATCCGGAATTATGGTTCTGAATTTAATCATTCTGAGTTAATTTTATTGTTATAGTATTTGCACATTAAATCTAAGAAAGATATAATTATCATATTATAACATAGCAAGCTAGTATTATTGGTCTTCTTTGAGATAATTTTATACCAGTATACTTGTGTTATAAATGTGTGAACTTAGGTTCAGAGATATTGTGTTGGACAAAAAGAAATTTATTTTTTAAAATAGAAAAATATGAATACTGAAAGGTCATTTTTGTCTGAAAGCTCTTGAAATAAAATATAAAAATTGACTTCTAGTTGGTGAACAGCAGACATTGAAACATTCGAGTTTTAGGAAATTTTTACAGCTTTTAGACTAGAGAAAGACACAAAGACTGGGGAATATATACAAAAGGCTGTTTTATTTTTCTACAATAAAAGACTCAGGGTGGGTGGTGCCTCACACCTTTAATCTGATTCCTTTGGGAGGCTGAGGGAGGAGGATGGCTTGAGGCGAAGAGTTAGAGACCAACCTGGACAATATGGAAAAGCCCCATCTCTACCAAAAGAAGAAAAAAAAAATGCTGGGTGTGGTGGTGCGTGCCTGTACCCTAGCTAATCAGGAGGCTGAGGCAGAGGGACTGTTTGAGCCCAGGAGTCTGAGGTTGTAGTAAACTATAATCATGCACTCCAGCTAGGGTGACAAAGCAAGACCCTATCTCTAATTTTTAAAAAGCCCTGGATCTTTGAATTATTCACTTCTACTTGGAAATTTTTGTAAGAAATCTCAGATTGAACTTTTAAAAGCCTTTATTTTTTACTAACTGGAGGTTAGGAAGCCAACCCCGAGAAAGCATACACAGATTTCACGTATACTACCTGTACCTTTGGGTGTATCCTCTATTCTCAGGGTCACTGAAATTTGTTGACATCCCTAGCCTTCCAGGAAGTGACCTTCCTGAGTTGTGAGACTGTATCGCATCAGCCAGGTATCAGGTCAAGTTCCCTGGATGGACTTTGCAATGATTGGTTCCATAAATAAAGTCAGCCTTAGTTCCTTAAAAGCAATGGTTCTACCTGACTCAGGATGCATCATTCTCCAATATGGGCACTCCGTAAGGCCTTAGTTATACAGCCAATTTATGTAACTATATCCTGATGAATAAGTAAACTGTATGAACCTATGCAAATAACCATGTCACCATGTAAAGTAAGGAAACTGAGGACCTAGTGAGATATTTTAAATGCTTTATTTCATGTACAAAAGTATAAAATTACTATCATCTACAGAAGGAAATCCTTATGTATCTGTAGATACATAATTACATAAAATAGAAGATGATAACTGCTTTCAGAGAATTTACAATCTAAAACAGGATGGTCATATCCTAAATTTAGGATAAAATATTTTTCTATTTGATAACTATGATTATTATAGTTATCATGTATAATAAGTAAGTATGATACATTGCCTAATGCATTACCTTCATCATACAATGTAATAAAATGTTTATTAGGTTAAATTTCAATTTTTTAAGCTGCCATGAATACTCAGAGAGAAAATACCTCACTTTGTGCTATTACTGACTGAAAAATAATTCTAGGTTGACGTACACCTTAAAACATTATTGAATGTGAACAAAGAATGATTAAGGCTTTTAGCAGGAGGTTAAAAAGTAAGATTTGTCACTTGTGAGGAAAAAAAGTCTACATGAAAAAACTAGAAATAGTAAGAGATGGGGCTGATGAGGAACCTTATACCAAGGTGAGAAAATTGAAAACTACAGCATTTTTTTTAAAGTAACAAATACAAGGCTACCTTCCCATGTATTAAAGAATATTCCTTTGTTTGTATGTTTTCTGAGTAAAACTACAGATAGTAATACTGTTTTAGCATTAGTTCATTAGCTGCAATAACCAGTTTTAGTTATAAGCAAGGTGATATTTTCTAATGGCATATAGAAATTAATATTTAAAAAGAGCAATTTAAGAAATTTTTTCAAAACTAAGAAACAACTTGATTGTTTACTTATCTTTTAGGCATTTCTAAACTTGTTAATTTTCTGGAATTTTATTTTTTATTTTCCTCCAGGAGAGAAACAGTGAGTCAAAAGAAATAAAACAACTATACATTTGTATAGCACATATTTTTATAAAAACATGTTTACGTAAATTTATTTGTCAGGCATTCAGATATATGTTCTGTTTATCAAAAGTCATTAAGATTAATGTAGATTTTCTCAGAATACCAGTTTGGCTGATTTGTTTTGTTTTGTTTTTGTCTTATGTATTCTAATTTTGAATTTCAAAAAAATTCTTTCACTCTGGTTATAGCTGTGAAATATTTACTATGCTTTTTTGATTTGCTAGGTTATTGTGAATGGTTTTATGAATAAATAGATTTGTATTTTTTTATTCTATCATATATGAAATAATTGAATATAGAAGGGAGATCAGCAATAACTAAATTATTTTTGTCAGTAACATCGACATAGCATTCTCTACTTTTTTTTTTTTTTTTGAGATGGAGTCTCGCCCTGTCGCCCAGGCTGGAGTGCCGTGATGCAATCTCTGCTCACTGCAAGCTCTGCTTCCCGGGTTCACGCCATTCTCCTGCCTCAGCCTCCCAAGTAACTGGGACTACAGGTGCCCGCCACCACGCCCAGCTAATTTTTTGTATTTTTTAGTAGAGACAGTGTTTCACCGTGTTAGACAGGATGATCTCGATCTCCTGACCTCGTGATTCGCCTGCCTCGGCCTCCCAAAGTGCTGGGATTACAGGCGTGAGCCACTGCCCCCGGCCTCATTCTATACTTTCTAAAACACTTCATATCTATTATCTAAATGAACATTCCATTTCCTTTTTATTTTTTATACCAGATATTTGTTCAAAAGAAACCTGGGGCCAAAAGTTATAAGAATAATAAGGCATGCTACGTAGACATTCTAAGTCCATTTTGCTAAAACTTCGACTCAGAGACATATAGGGACATGCCTCAGTTTGCACAACCAGAAAATTTCGGCAGCTGGTCAGTTGCCTTTTTCTTCTGATTTCCAATTTGAGAAAAATTGTAATGAAAATTACTCTGAGATCAGTATCTAGATTAGTTAGCCACAAATACATGGTTTATGAATACTTTTTAGAGAAAAGGTACAGCATAGTGGTTAAGAATACTGTTGGGTTGGAATCTGTGCCTTTCCCTTTTTGGCTGTGTGATCTGGGTAAGATGCATCAACTATGCCTTCATCGGCTCAGTGATAAAGTGGGTGCCTGCTTCGTCAGATTGTTTTGAGGGTGAAATGACTTAATACTGTTATACTTATATAAAACACAAAGTATTTGCAGGCATATAGCTTATAGTTAACTATTATTTAAATTGACGGTTACTATATTTTAATATTATCAGTTACTCCATTAACTATATGGTACCTGAATGCTGATGTCCTAATTCCATTTAATTGTGTTTTTTAGAATGTTGTCTGATAGTACATTGTTTAAAATAAAAGATTATTTCATTTCTACTTTAAAATATCAGTAAATGTAGTGATTTGTTAAAAATCAATGTTCTTTTCCTAATTTATGTTATGTGATAAATTAAGCCATTTCTGCATTAAGTCTCACCAATTTACCTTCTGAGTTTTTTAGTCATAATGATGTCTACTGAACGATGCTGCTGAAACAGCCTTAGCTTTCATGTGTGAGGAAGTCTGAGGGTTGCCTCAATTTGTTTTTATTTTTGGGATAAGCCAATATCATATTGCTCAGTTAACATTTATTATGAATTGACTGTTTCCTTTGTGTGTATATAATTATGTGTGTATATATGCATCAGATAGAGCATCAGATGAAATTTACTGTTTTTATGGTACCTGTGCACAGAATTTCTACACACACACACACACACACACAGAGAGAGAGAGAGAGAGAGAGAAGGCAAATTGACTTAGAGCAAATTCAGTCTGAAAAGTTAGTGTATTTGAGGTGTATATTAATTTAAACTATAAATTTAATATATTCATAATGCATTCTAAAATGTTGTAAGATTTCTTTATGCTTAAGACATTTATATGTATCTATGATATACCAGGTATTACTAAGTGGTATGTATTCAGAGATGAAAAATAGTTCTTGCCCTCAAGGCCTTAAAACCCAAAAGGGAATACAGGCAAGTGATAGACAAATACCTTTATAGTAATGCATGCACTAGGTTCAGTGATACAGATAAGCAGAAAATGCTGTGTAAATATTTAGGAAACTTGTTTTGGAGATTGTTGGTAAAAATATGATATGCTTTAGCCAAACCAGCTTGGAATAGGAAGCCACAGGAAAGTTATGTATGAGATCAGTAATAGTCTAAGTAAGAGTAGGCTTGAAGCAATTGACTGATAATTTGAGATTACAGCCAGTTAAGATTATTAAACTTTGAATAAATGAAAAAAACTGGGGCCTAAAGAAAACAATTTACATGCCATTCTGATTGGCAAGTTTAATGAAAAGATGAGTTTCAATCACTTTAAATTACTTTAAAATATTGTTAACTCTTCAGTTAGAACTAGTATTAATGGTTATGTGACATTATGGTTTATTTTTTTTTAAATAATCATTGGCTAAGTATGCTTCGTGTTCAAAAATAAATATAAAATAAAAAACATCAACTTTATGCATAGGATGACCTCAGTGAATGTATTTTACTCAGCTTTCTGGTGCTTATTTGGTTATCACGGAAATGCTATCCTTTCCTAATTCAGTCAGCTGAGGCAGAGGGAGTAGAGTCATATGGCCTTATCATGTGACCCAGGAATGTTGCTATGAACATGCTGGTTTAGGCAGGCAAATTGACTACTATGTCCAGTGATCACATTAGGGAAAAAAACACCAACCCTGATACTGCAATTTTAATTCCATATAATATGAAAATAAGGGCATTAAAGGATTTTCTTATTAAACGCTACATAGAATTATAAAAAACAAGAGAAGAAACCAAATATTTAATTCATTTTAAATATATAAACATGTACAGATGTTTTAAAATATCAAGTAAAGCATAAATTAAAATATAAGAATTAAGAACATATCTTTCTGATTTAAATATTGACAGGCAAGGTAGAATGTAATTTTAAGAATCTGCTAACTAAACAAAATTTAAAAATTAATCATAAATTTGAAAATGAAATAATGTCTAATGACTTTTTAAATGTGAACTTAAAAAATAACCTGCTTAAAAATCTTGCCATCATTGAGACACAAATGGTATTTTGTGAAACATTTTCTGGCTTCTCAGAAAGATCTTTGTAACTTTATACTACATTGGGCAATAGTAAGGAGAAAGTTATACTGGACAGCTAAATACACATATTTTATTCATTCTTTTATTAGTCCATTTTCATACTGCTGTAAAGAACTGCCTGAGACTGGGTAATTTATAAAGGAAAGAGGTTTAATTGAGTTACAGTTAAGCATAGCTGGGGAGGCCTCAGGAAACTTACAGTCAAGGCAGAAGGTGAAGGGGAAGCAAGGCACCTTCACAAGGCTGCAGGAAGGAGAAATGCCAAGCAAAGGTGGAAGAGCCCCTTGTAAAACCAGCAGATCTTGTGAGAACTCACTATCACAAGAACAGCATGGGGGAAACTGCCCCCATGATTCTGTTATCTCCACCTGGTCTCTCCCTTGACATGTGGGGATTATGGGAATTACAATTCAAGATGAGATTTGGGTGGGGACACAAAGCCTAACCATGTCAATTCTCAAGTAATCAAGTCTCTAACTTTAAGAATTTTTTTAAAAATAACCTTTAGATTTCTTTATGGGTACTGGAATCTTTTTTATCAATAGCTTACTGCCAGTTTTGTTTTAAAAAAAGTTGTTTTGTTTTCCACCCTGGTTTGACTTCTTCTTTAGTTTCATAACGTATAGGTAAAGATTCAAATGTAGAGTGACCTGAATCACTTTTAGTACTGTCATGTTAATATTCCACTTGTTCAGAATACTTTGAACTAAAGTAAAAATTATTCTTGGAACAGAAGCTTTACTTTCATCAGTTGTCATTTTCTTCTTCCTCCTGGGGATTGTAGTGTTATAGAAGAGCACTTTTTAAATGAGTATAGCTTCACTCTATTTGAAATTTAATGCTTTTTATATAACTCTCCGGGTATACCTCGAAACATAAATGATTCACATTTCTCATTTAAAAAAATACTGAACTAGCAGACTTAAATCAAGAAAACCAGCAACATTTCACTTCTGTAATGTAGCTCAGTGCTCCATATAACTGAAAACCTGTGTTGTCATTATAAAACATATTCCCCATGACATGAGATGTTAACACATAAGTTGAAATATCAGAAGAAATCTGGAATCAACTAAACCCATTGGTTTATTTGTTTGCTCATTCATTCCTTAATTCATTCAAATCAAACTCATTATTTCCATGTCTAATGTCTTCCCTCTTCAACGGAGAAAAGTAATAAAAGGAGGAAATAAGTAAAAAGGTATATGAGGAGCTGTGTGTGCAGATAACGCTATGGGACATGATGTAGGAAGTCAGACTCCTGGAATTCTGTCTCTTTTCCTATCCTTCCACCTTGAATTTACCTCCTTTTTCCCTCCATTTTATTTTTGTTTGTTTCAGAGTAATATGTTGCTTTTCCTGTTAAAGAAGACTTTAGATCCTGAGTGTATACTGTCTTGACTTTAAAAGCCTAATTCCTACTATTAAAAGCAATCATGTTATCATTATCTTTTATATAGGGCACTTGGTAGAAAATAAACATGGAGTTATTTTTCTACTTGCCAGCATGTATGGGGACACATTTACAGATATAATTATGTTTATGGTTTTTTAGGCTCTTTAGAAACCCATACCTTCTTTTATTCTAACTGAATTAAGAGAATTAAGAACTAGTGGTGTTCCAATTCAGGCTTTTAAAGACATACTGTATACACATGATCAATGAACTTATAGTGCAATGCCCACCCCTTTATGAAGGCCTATAACATCCTTTATGATCCAACTACTGCCTACCTTTCCACCCAGATATCTCTGCTTCCTACTTCTTGAGTACTAAGTTACAATTACACCAGTCTCCAATTTCATTTCCTGATACACAGGAAGTAAAAAGTAGGCAGGCGTTAAATTATAAAGATCATGCACTTTTTGAAAATACCTGTGGTAACTTTATGCAACTTTACTTTGTGTGAAATCCATCAACCTTCATCTTCTCCCTCTTAAGATTTGGGAATATCTTTCATGCTTGGAGATTCATAACATCTTGCTCACACTTATGAGAAACATCTGTAATTTTAGTACAACAATCATATCCTGAGAGCCAATAGATCAGTTATGAGTTCTGAATCTGTGTTGGCAATCAGGATACTTTGAACAAATGGTACAAATTCTTAATCCCATAGATTTCTGTAAAATATGTCAACTGCATGCCTTTAAGAATTTTTTTTTCTAATTTAACATTCTGTTTCTTAGGTTAATTAGAAGTTATCACTGTAAAAGAAACACCTAGTGACCGTATATTTTAGTCTGAAAATTAATATTGTCTTTGGCTTTATAAAAATAAGTAAGCAGGCCAGTCATGGTGGCTCACACCTGTAATCCCAGCACTTTGGGAGGCTGAGGTGGGTGGATTACCTGAGGTCAGGAGTTTGAGACCAGCCTGGCAAGTTAAATCCTATCTCTTCTAAAAATACAGAAAATTAGCCAGGTGTAGTGGCAGGCACCTGTAATCCCAGCTACTCGGGAGGCTGAGGCAGAGAATCTCTTGAACCTGGGAGGTGGAGGTTGCAGTGAGCTAAGATCACACCATTACACTCCGGCCTGGGCAACAAGAGCAAAATCTTGAAATTAAAAAAATAAAATAAAATAAGTAAGCAAAGAAAAGTGGCAATTATTTTCTTTATTAGAAATCAATGTTTGAAACAGTTTTTCAGTTAAGTGTTTACTAATGTGTTGTATTTGTGTGATAGATACTCCGTCTGCTCTCTCATAGCTGTGGTCGTGACTGCTAGTTTTCTCCATTAACACTTTTCCTCCAAATTTTAACTGGGTACATGGATGGCCAGAATAACAAGCACATTCCCCAGGTTCTTTGGAAGCCTGCTGAGGTCATGTGACCAGCAGTTATGGCCAGAAGGATGTTAATGGTAGTGCTGTATAAGCAACTCACAGGTCAAGCTCTTAAATGGCAAGGGCATGAACATCTCTGACCCCTTGCCACATCTTCTACTCACTGGTGGAATGCCATATCATGTAAATGGCAGAACAACAAGGTCAAAAAATATTAGTTGGCCTTTACATATTGCTATGTATTACTGCTATAAGAGAAATCTTTTTAAATGGCATATTTCACAGTTTACATGTCCTGTAACATTTTTTATCTTAGCATTGAAACCAAAGTAAAATTTAATTCCTAATGTCCTACATTTAAATTAGTTTTTTTAATTCCCCTATTGTTTACCCTTATTAGTGCTAATGTCAGTAATAACTAAAAACATTAAAAAATTAGTTTTCAAATGTAATTTGGACATTTGGGAAAAATTAAATTTTTATCATATAAATATAAATGTTCCATAAAACAGTTGTGTCACTAGTGAATTGAAGTAAGATGTTAAGTATAGCTCCTTTCTAATATTGGTCACATGTAATTTGGTATTTTTTTTAGATCTTTAAAATGTCAATTCATATTTTGGGGGGGTGGTAGCTGGAATGTTTATGGCATTTTAATAGTCAATAGTTTCTCCTAGATAGCTCACAATCTGTGTATACATGTTATCTCTCCATTTAGCTCACAATCTGTGTATAAATGTTATCTCTCCATTTATATATGTATATATATACACACACATACATATATATGTCTTCACATATACTCACATGCACATATATATATATACACACACACACGTTCGTGTCTAACACAGATACAGACACACAATATTTTTTAAGTCTTTTTCCTCCCTTAAGTCAACCTTTTAAGAACAATCCTTAACGCATTTGGGAACTTTTGGAATGCTTGCTTTCATTCACTCATTCATTAACTCAGGTAGTTACTAAGTACACATTCCGTACTAGGAATTGTTTTAGTTACTCTACTAAATGCTTGACATGCAAAGTGGTCAGGATAAATATAGCCTCTTTCCTCAGGAAGCTTAATTTCTGTTAAGGGCAACAGAGAGAAATGGCAAAACAAAACAAAACAAATAAAAAACCTGCAAATGATAAGTGACACAAAGAAAACAAAAACATTGTTAAAATTGAGAACACAATTTTGGGAGGCTGAGGCCGGTGGATCACTTGATGTCAGAAGTTGGTGACCAGCCTGGCCAGCGTGATGAAACCCCGTCTCTACTAAAAATACAAAAATTAGCTGTGCATGGTGGCACGCACCTGTAGTCTCAGCTACTTGGGAGGCTGAGGCAGTAGAATCACTTGAACCCGGGAGGCAGAGGTTGCAGTGAGACCAGATCGTGCCACTGCACTCCAGCCTGGGTGCCAGAGCGAGACTCCATCTCAAAAAAAAAAATTGAGAATCCAAAGATGGCTGTAAGCTAGATCTTTAAATACTTGAAATATACTTCGTAAAGATCACAGAAAAACACTCTCTAAAGAGAGGTTACAGAATGTTCAAAAGCCCAGGGGTGGGAAAATGCTGGGGGAATTCAAGGAAATTAAAGGAGACTAGTGTCACTGTAACTTAGTACTCAAGAAATAGGAAAGGCAGGCAGGAGTTAGATCATAAAGGTCATTATAGGTCTTGGTAAAGAAGTGGACATTGCATTATAACTTCAGATGCATTTTAAAGAGAGTCATATGAAGGTGCAATCTGTTTGACAAAGATAACCTTTGTTGCTTTTTAAGGATTGACTAGGGCAAGAGTAAATGCAGGGATACTACTCAGGAGGTTGTTGAAGTAGTCAAAAGAGTGACAATGATAGCAGTGGAGATAGAAAGAGGCAAAAAGAGTCAAGATATAATTTTGGAGGTAGATTTAATCAAGAAGTCTTAGTAATAGTCTTTGGCCATAAGACAAAGAGAGGAATCAAAGAATGACTTCAGGTTTTTGGCTTAAGCAGCCATTACCTGTTGGTACCACTTTGTATGAGACAAATAAGGCTAGAGTCAGGTTAGAAGTGAAGGTGAGGAGTTTAGTTTTAGGTATATTATCTTCATGTTTCTTTGAAAGACTCAAATGAAATGGCAAACAGTTTGAACTCAGAGAACTGGATAAATAAAATTGGTATTTCTCAACATATGAATTTTGCTAGAGCCATGATACTAATGAGGTCAGCTCCTGCAATTGAGAACCATGAACCAGGAAGAAAAGAAAGTCCAGGATCCCAGAGGAACACTGATATCTCAACAAAGAGAAGGCATAAAAGCAGACTGAGAAGGAATGATAGGGAAAAAAGAAGACATATCCTGAGATTTCAACACCTTGAAAACCAAAATATAGTATTTGAAAAAAGAGGAGATGGCCATCCATGTTGAATAATGTTAAGCAGCTGAATGAAATGAGGACAAATAAGTTGCCAGTGGTGAACTAGACGAGACTGATTCTGAGGGGATGATGAGCGTGAGAGCCAGAATGGAGTGGGTTTAAAAGTGAAAGTCAAGTAATGCTTTTGCAGACAGCTCTTTTGAGGTGTTTGTCTAATAAAGGCAGCAGATAAATAAGATAGCAGTTCGAGTGGGATGGGGATCGAGAGAGGTTTGTTTTCTTATGAAATATAAGAACATGTTTGTGTTCAGAAAAGGCCTATTCAAAGGGGATGATTCCGTGGTGAGAGCAAGATCAACATAGAAGGGAAAGGGGCTGCCTAAAGGAGAACTGTAGTTCCAAAGCACAAGTGGAAAGGTAAATGTTTATACAGAAGTCCTCCTTCCCCCCAGAAAAAAGACAAAAATGAATACAGGTGAAGGTTGGTTGTAAGTGGGGTTTTGTGAAGATGAAAAAATTCATGATTGATAACTTTTATATTCTCAGTGAGATTATCATTTGAGAGCAAAAGGAGGAAGGAATAAGAGATGTTTGAAAAAATAGAAGGTATGAGATAGACATCTCTAGGAGTGAAAATACCAGAGAACTATAGTAGGGTGTCCAGGTAATATTGCATGTTCGTTAGATATTTGTAATCAGGAGTACAAATTGATCCAGCCTCTTGGTTGTGTGCCTTTTTTCCTAGAGGGCTAGTGTTGATCAAGGATTGTAGTTTTGTCAGGCACCTGTCAAAAAAAGGAAGGATTTTGAAAGTACTAGCAAATAACTAACATATTAAAGAACCAATAGCCAACTGGTTCTCAAAATGGTCTGTACATTGGAATCACCTGGGGACTTTCAAAACCACTGATGTCTATGACAAATACCTAGAAATTGTGATTTAATTGGTCTTGGCTAGGGCTCGGGCATTGAAAAAGAATCTTAAAATGATTCCCAGGTGATTCTTAAGGCTAGGAAGTGAAGAGAGAATTTTAAGAGGTCGTAAAAGATATAGGAAAGTTCTCCTGTTTTAGAACAGAAGTTGTAGTGAGCATAGCAAGAGGATTTTGGAGGAAGAGAAGAAAAGTTCAGATTGTGGTATGTGGTGAGTTCAACTATCAGTGCCTGGCCAGGAGGCTGAACTTGGATTTCCCGTAACAAACAAAGCAAACCCGAATGGGGCTGCTGCTGGGTATTATTGAGAAGCTTTCTAAAATATATTTTCATCAGTAAATAAAGTTTAAATCAGAAGCCTTTCTGCCTTTCTTATATTGTTTGTATATAAATAGATTTGTATACAAATATATACAAAATGTATGTAAATAGATTTATATGCAAACAAAAATCATGGCAATAGAGAACAAAGTATTTTTTGTTTATAATGTAGGTCATCTGATATGTGTACATATGTTTTTCCTGCTTTCTTGTTTAGCACTCTTATTATCATGATGTTATTCTGGTTTCTGTAATGAGTGATACCTGTGGAGAAAAAGGCATAATTACAAACTGGCAATTTTCTCTCTCAGCAGTATTATGAAATTTCCATTACTAAATTTAAAGGATTTTCTCAATATAATTATATTGTATTTTGACATTTGATAATTTTGTAGGACATTCTTTAATGAATATGTTACATTCTCCCCAAAGCCACAGGGGAAGTTGGATGGATTTTGTCCTAAGTGTCAGTCTGCATTTGTTGATCGCTACATTAGACTTCAGTATAAAATGTGTGATCTTACTTCAAATCTTCCATCTGTGGTTGTTTAGTGTCAAACTTGTAAATTCTTCTATTTTTCTGATAGATAGGAATACAATAAAGATTTAAATGTCTTCCTGCTAAGCGCTGGAATTAAGGCAGTTATAGAAAGACAAAATACACTCTCCTGAACAGTGGGAATGCTAATTTTTGGCATTTTCTTTTAGCTTGTTGAGGCAAGTTTGCTGAATGTAACATGACTCATAGAAGTCTATAAAACTGAGCTGTGAAAAACTGCAAAATTCTCAATATGAGCAGTTGTAAATGGCTTGAAGTTCTGTTAAAATGCTCAGAGATACAAATAGCGTATATTCCAAATGGCACAGACTTAAAAGCAATGGCCCTGATTTGATTCACAGCACACTGTTAACCAGGGTTAGCTGGCATTTAATGAGAACCTACCATGAGCATGACATTGCACTAGGAGTTAAGGAAGTGCTGCTACAATTACCTGGGGAGCTTTAACATATTGAAGCCCAAGAGCCTGACCCCAACCATTTGAGACAGAATCGCTGAGTGTAAGGCTCTGGCAGTAGTTGTTTTGAAAAATCTCACCAAATAATTTTAATTTGTGAAAGTATAACATAGAGATCCACTGATGGAAGAACATGCAAAAATGAAGATTGAGAGAGACAGATTGACCTGGACTGTGCCGGAGTCACTGGAAGCCAGGCGAGAGAATGTCCTCAGCCCTCTTTCCCAGGTGACTTAAATGCCCACTACTGGAAAAACTCCTGCCAGGTTAGCTTTCATAAGAACAATTTCACCTCAGATCCTTCCTGATGACCATAACCTTTGAGAAGAGTCACTTTAGAGAACATTGCTTATGTAACTTACCCACATTTTTTTCTACCCACCCACATTTACCAAACTGAATACAGAAAATCTTTTACAAATATAAAAAGATTATACTAATATTCTGGAGAGGAAAAAAAGAAGCAACTGAACCTAACTATCTCTAATTCTTTCAGTCTTGGTCTTAGGATAGGATGCCCCGGAAATACTGCTACATTTCTTCCTTTGGGATATTTGTGATTGTCAGTGGCCGTGGTGTTGACTCCTTTTGAATTTCTCCTCAGTTGGGCTGTATCCAGCTGAGGCCCTTTTAAAGATGGAGTGAGAACCATAGGAATACACCCACTGCGGTGCCCAGGTGTGACCAGGTGCAGATATTCTCTGTTTTTCATCCATCTAAGCTAGGTCCACCTCTGTTCTCATGCCTCTGAGGCAATGTCCATGTGAGGATGGGCATTGTATCCTCACATGGAGAAATGGACAGAGGTGCAGGAAAGTGTTCCTTTAAATGTTGAGCCCTTTTATAAAGGTGTTAGTTCCATTCGTGATGTAAGAGCCCTTATGACTTAATCACCTCCCAGAGGCCACATCTCTTAATGCTGTTCCATTGGTGATTAAATTTCTACAGGAATTTTAGAGGGGATATTGTCATTTAAACCATAACAATCCTTCCTTCCTTCCTCCGTTCCTTCCTTCCTTCCTTCGTCCCTTCCTTCCTCCCTCCCTCACTCCCTCCCTCCCTCCCTTTCTCCGTCTCTCCCTCCCTGAATGTATTCATTATCCACACAACTCTGGCTTAGAAGGTTACTTATATATCTAAACCTCTCCAGCTCCATTGTTAGGTTATAGACAATTGAGTTTGCAGAATGGAGGTATGGTTTACTTTAACATTATATAGAAATATATAAACTTTTATCAAGCCTTATTTATTACTTAATTACCTAGCATTTTATAAGCACTTCAAAGTTTCATTTTCTAACCGTGAGCCCCAGTGACTCACAAAAGATTCCCTTAAATACAGGGAACTGGATAGGTCACCTTTAAGGGCTGGTGCAGGGGAATAGATTGCTACTCTAGGAATAAAGATAAATTAATATACAATGGGCATTAATTCTAGCCTTGAGTCTGTAATTTGGTGTTACATCTTCAATTAAGCCTTCCCTCGATTTGATCCCAAAGACCCACCTGAGTGACAGCCTCACTTTATTGTTGGACATGCAAACAAATGAATAGCCCTACCCTTTCCTGACATCACTCTACAGAGTACCATGGTATGGGTTTTCTTCACAGTATTTCTGCCGTGTTGTTAATTCTTAAATCATCTCTCACCTTCACTAATTCTCGCCTTTCTAATTTTGCTATATTAGTAATGCTTGTTATTTGGCTCACAGCCACTTAGCACACTTTCTGTAAGTTTCTAGAGGTTACCAGAAAACCTACAGATCTTCTTTCCAAAAAGAATTGATCAGAGGCTTCATTTTAGCTCAAAGACTGAATACCGGACTCTGCCAGTGTTATTCATGCAGGCTGGAAGGATCCATAGGCTGAAAAATGTGAGATGTATTGTCAAACTGGTGAGCTATATGGCTGTCATCTCATAGAACGTAGTGATGAGTGCTCTAAACACAGATATCTTGCTCTGGCAACCTTTCTCCTGAACAACTCGACAATAGGAGACTAGGAGTTTAAAAGATGAATTTCTCTGCCTCTAAAATTTTAGATTATTACCTGAGTCCTTACTTCTCCATCCCAACTTGGTCCCCCTCCCATTAAAAAAAAAAAAGATGAAAGTGACCTATACATACCGTCTCAAAATAGTAAAGAGAATCTCTCAGTTACTTAGAAAATACAGTTAGTTTTCATTTTTCCTTCTCACTAAGAGAGACATAGGTTTCTCTTTGGCGATATATTTTCTTTGAGAGGTTGAGGGGATACAGATTATTTAGATGACTTGCCTCAACTTAACAGTCTTTTAGCACCCTACTACTGTAAAAATGGCTATAATTTCTTGAAAATTTACTCAGAGCAAGGCAGTGCACTGAGTGCTTTACATATAATATCTCATTTAAAACTTTGTCATACTCCTGAGAGGTAGATATGATTCCCTTCTCTTCACACCTAGGGGAAATGTAAGGTTAAGTGGCTTTCAGATTTATAAAGGAGCCAGAATTTGAACCCAGCTGGTCTGTCTCCAAAATGTAGGCTCTGCATCACTACCCTATATAAGACAGTAGTATTATTTTGCCCAAAAATGAATGCTAATGTTGGTAGTGGTGTTGGTGCAGCTCTAACTACAGTCATTCATCCAGAGGAGATGCAACAAAGAGGAAAACAACAGATCAAATTTTGTATTGTACTGTGGTCTATCAAACAAATCAAGGGAGAAAGTAATTTGTTTCCAAATTATGAACCAATGTTACAAATTACTTAATGGTCCTCTTTGTTTACTTGTGATAGTTATTTCTTCATTCTACACTAATTTGGCACCTACTGCTGAGCCAGGCACTATCCTAGGAACTGGGTAACAAAAGAGAACACTTAGTCTTAACTCAAGGAGCTCACTATCCAGAGAGGAAACAAAGCAAGACAGATGCGAGTGTGTTCGGTAATAAATTTCACCTTCAAGATCTGCATAAAGCACCGTGAGTACTTCAAGAAAGATCACGAAACCAATATTTAGGCAAGGAAGTTGCAGGCCATGAAGAAAGGCCTGCTTTGGAAGAAGAGATTAAGTTTAAAGTATCCGTTTCACCTCCATGCTGATCCTCTGTGTAGTCCCATCACTGGAATGGTGGCTACACAAAGCTAAGAAGGTGAAACAGAATGAGGGCCTTACTAATTTAGATCATGAATGATGAGAGAGAAGGCTGAACCTAGAAGCAGAGGCCAGGTCGTAGAGGGCTTTTGAAGGGTTTTGCAGGAGATTGGCATGGTCAGATCCAGTTTAGATATGTTACTTGATTGATAATGTAAAAGATGGATTTGAAGGGGCTGTCACCTCAAACTAAATATAGAAATGACCTTTTGCCACCAGAATTCTTTCATATTAGTTTAAAGTTGTAGGTCTAAATTCTTTCCACACTTGTCATGTCAGTCAGTAAATTTTATATACCGCCACTCTGGAGCAGTTTGAAATCATCCACTTCATTTTTTTAAAAAAATAAGGTCTTGCTAAAGATTACGAGGGAAGTAAAGTTTCTATCCCTCTGTTGACTCAAATAAAAGAGATATTCATTAACTCTGCCTAACTTATCATGTACAAAATGAAATACTGTTCCATTGTTTCAGGTAAATTATTTTTACTGCATATTCATATTTTAGGTAATCAAACACTGGAAAATTGTTTTAGTCCATGAGACAAGAGTTGTGTTTCTTTGACTGTACAAGTTTGAATCAACTTCTGCATTATATTTCACAACTCAAAACTGACACAGCTACTTGATTTAAGCAATTTAAAAACATAAGGTAGTATAGGTGTAACACTTTATACGTTATCATCTGTAATTTTTTTTAATTTGGTGTTTGTAAACTGAGTAATGATAGGTGCAGTTGAAAAATGTGTTTATTTTTTAAGGAATTTTGTAATACAGCAAAAATTGCCACCTGATTCATCTTTTGTAAAAGAGGTTTTATATAACTATGTGTCTTAAAGTAAGTTGTACCCATAGAAGTATAAGTTATAAATGAGAAAAAATAATACTATAGCTTTTAAAACCATAAACAGTTCTGTAGAAATGCTTATAATACTTGTCTTTCCCCTAAAAATACACTTAGGAAATACGTCTACAATTAACAAAAAAAGACTATACTATTAAGCTTAAAAATATAAGCCTTATTTCAGTTTTTACGAAGGAATTTTATAGCATAAGAGAAACAACCCAGAAACAGCTTTTCAACTTCGTTTGCACACAATTATCTGATAGACTCTTCCAAGTTAAATTTAATAAAGCCAAATGTGATAGGTGCCTGAGCTTCACCAACACACACAAAACCAAAATTCAGAGATACCATTTTGAAATACGCAGAGATGACCATGTGGAGGTGAAGAGATGAAATGACAAAGATAAGTTTGAAAACCTAGGTAATTCATACCTTTTCAGAACTTTAATCTTTTATACATCATGTTTTTATTTTATGTGGGTCATAGATAAAATTTTCATGGTATAATTGATAACAAATTGATAAATTTATTTTGAAATTGTTATACTGAGTCATTTTTATAGTCTTTCCTTCCCAGCATAGTAGGCAGCTGTATTATCAACTTTCTATAAACAAGAAGACAGTTAGATATCTTAGATTATTCCAATATGATTTTTATAGTTTAGTAAGAAACATTATCTGATCTATGTGATTAAAAATGTTATTTTAAAGTGCTATGACTTTCTCCACATTTGAAATTTTATTTACCTTTTTGTTATAATGTAGAAATGCTGTGCACTTAAAAATTTTTTTTTAGATCAGCTTATTTTATACTCACCTATAGACTGTAAAATTGTGGTACGATGAGAACTTAATTATTATGTGTTGAACAAATAAACATTCATAAGCCTGGTGCATTCTGAGAAATCCATTTATTGACTTTTTAGAGGACATTTTATTTATTAAAGCAAGACTCTCATGAAAGCTATGTGAACATATAAGGATCTGTCTCTTTGTTTCTTTCTTTTAATTAGGATATTTTAAAATCCTTTGTGTATGGACTGTACTATAAATGAGGCCAAATAGATACTAGTAGAATAAATGAAAAGTTGAACATGTTATTTTGCTTGCAACATTGGAAAGCTACTGTTTTGTTATTCATTAGTCATTCCAAATATTTTTGGAGCAGACTTTTCTGATAGCTTCTAAAGAGAGTTTGATGGTGTACTCCTTTTGTATTCTCTTTGAAGAGGTATAATCAAACAATTACTTGATTGCTTGATACAGGCAGAGCACCTCCTCTACACATAAAGCAGAGTGTATAAAACCAATTCCAGCAACGTGGCTATCTTCAAGTGTATATCATCTGTGCATTCTCGGCGGGGTGATATCAACCCCAATAGGGGCAAAAATTGATTTTTCTGGTAGAACAAATAAAACCTTAGATACAATAGTGTGTGGCTCTCCAGAGTGCCACAGCATATAAACAGATATGCAATAGTATTTGGAGCATCAAAACTTCATGGGGTGGGTACAATTTGGAAAAAAAATGGCTGAAGAGGCTTCTGCAGGGTAAGTGAGGGAGTAGGTAGGGAGGATACATAATGAAAAAAGAATTGAGCAACACTGCATTATTCATATTGTCATTTCTGGGCCTTCTACACCAGGGTTGCCCACTAGAGTCTGATTACCTCAAAATAGTACCTTAATGATAATTGTTTCAGTTTTCTAGTTTGATGTGTAAATTTTTCTTTTAGGGCAGAAGGGTAAGATTTTAGTCCTAGCCTAGGCATTCGCATTTTACTAAATGTTCTACTTTGTAAAATAAAACAAAGACTTTGTCCCCATATTGTTCCTTACATTGGCATTGAGAATACTTATTCTCTTGAAAATACTTCTCGAGTAGCTAAAAGTTAAGATATGTTTTACTGTTTTGAAAATGAAAAAAAATTTTCTATGACTGCCAGCCTACTTCCAACTTAATTCCTTTATTCTTCCTTGCTTTTTCTCCTTCTCTTGCCAGTATATGCTGCCCCCAACTAAATGAGGGCAAGAATTGCCTGGGCAAATATAACATCAAAGGCCAGACAGCTTAAGATAAAGAGCTGATACTTTTAAATTCTGATTTCTTTCCTACAGACACCCATCATTTTTTGAGTAAAAGACAAGGACATCTGTTCATTTTAATCAGTTGACTTCAAGGTCACATGTTTAAATATAAAAAGGTCTAATATAGAAATATTACTATATGGATATAATGAAAATTATTTTTTAGTGAAGAAAATAATCATTATACACATTAACATTTAATATATTGAAATCTGCATGTTTAAGCATGGTTTTGTTTCCTAAAATCAGTACCTTGGGTACACACAAGACTTGTTTCCTCATGAGTCACAAATATTTTCATAACTGCTATCTTGTTTTGTCTTGGAAAGTTCAATTGTAAGAAGCTGATATAATTATTAGGACTTACAGTTAGAAAACTGAATTTTTGAATTTTGCTAATTAGCAGACATTTTGCTATTTTCTGACCCTTAGCAAAAAATATTTTATAACAACCAGAATTTCCTTTGCAACTTGATGAGATAGATAGATAGATAGATAGATGATATATATTTGATACCTAAGTTGTTTTTGTTTTTAAATTGTAATTAAATAAAACAGTAAATGTCGTCTTTTTTAGGGTGGCTAAAATATGCAATATCAGCAGTAAGCATTGGACTGAACATGGTTCTTTTTAACCATGATTTTAATACTCATTTGTTTTAATTATTTTGGTAATTATAATAAAAGAACTAGGAAATGAACCTGAGAAACTATAAACACACACACACACATTGACTTAAAATACATACTTTACAAATTGAGAAATAGGTTACCAACCTGTAAAGCTCATTACTATTTTATCATTTTTTCTCTTATTTGCCAAACTTCATTATATAGTTACGTGTGCTGATCCTGCTTCCTCATACGCTACCCACCTCTCAAACTCTTGTACTTTCCCTGATGCCGTCTCACAATTCAGGAACTTTGGTTTCCAAGATCATCATTGACTTGCAGACCTCTGCACCCACTACCTGAACTCCTTTGACCTCTTGGTTCAGTTTGACTCCTCAGGTTCTCCTTCTCTTTCTTCTTTGTTATGTTATGATTCTCCTGTCTGCTTCACAGACTCCTTCTCCTCAGTTTCTTCTATAATGTATTAATACATCTTTCTCAGGTGTTCTACTGGTTCTCTTTTATTGCTTCCCTACCTCTCTCAGAAAACTCATCTACTTTTATGCTTTGACCATTTCTTTAATGTAAATAACTCCTATATCATTATCTCAAAATCCAACCTTTTATTCTGAATTACAAACATAAATTTTGAAGCTGCCTGAGATCTCTACCTGGTTATCTTGCTGGCTCCTTTAAGTCACTAAATCCAAAACTGAAGTCATCCTCCCTATAAATCTTGATACCCTTTCTTCTTCTTTCTTTTTGTCCTTCTCCCTTCTCCTTTCTTTCTTCTTCTTTTCCTTCCTCCTTCCCTCTTCCTCTTCCTTCTTTCTTCTTTATCCTCATTATTCTGGTAATTAACCATTGAAATCTGGGAGTCATTTTAGTTGTTCCTTTTATTTGTTTATTTTTAACATCCAGCCATAGCTAAGTCACAGTATCCTTATTCTTCGTGACCTTTTCCCCATATACACTTCCACATAATTTTATATGTCTGTTGCATTTGTTTAGGCTTTTGCAGTTTATGCAGCATTTTTGCATGCATAATGTCACTTTTTACAAACAACGTGCAAGGTCGGTATCTTTTTTATAATTTTTATTTTGGGACAGCAAAAATTAATGGTTAAAAGTTCAGCTTTGGAGCCAGTCTGTCTACATTCTGATCCTGGCTGCTTTGCTTCCTGGCTGTATCATTTTTGACTTGTTACTCAATTTTTCTGTGCCTCAACTTCATCGTTTAAGAAAGGGGATTATAATGGTACCTATTTTACTGGGCATTTGTAAGAAAATATTTAATTATGTTAAGAGTTTATGTTGATGCTTTTTATTTAATAAATGTTCGATAAACAAAAAGTTACACAGCAGGAGGTTACACATTGTAAGTGACATATTACAAATTTTAAGTTGTCCTAAAATTTATGTCCTTTGTATCCATATTCCATGCTTCACCCACTGTATGACACATCATTGTGCCTTTTAAAAAATTCTATAGGAGAAATTCTTTATTTAACTGGAGACTGGACTAATTTATATTCAGAGAATTATTAGAAAGCGTAAAACTGCAATATAATTTGTAATTAAATACATCATTTCACAGGGTTTACCTTCTTGATGTTTATACCCTGTGCTCCCACCATTCCTAAAAAGTATTTCTTTAATGGGTCTCAGGAAGAACATTAAAGTAAGTATGTATATATTCCTGGATAGTAGTCTAGAATGTCTCCCGAGTTATGAATATTTAGATATTCATGAGTCTTGACATCTGTCACTTGGAGTATTAAAAGTTTCTCGTTACCCCCAAATACCTGACACATTTAATGATTCTTTGTAAAGTTTCAAGAAATAAAGTTTCCTTTTTATACATTCATGTGCCAGTTTATGAGGGACTCCAATAACTGTTGTGCCATAATTCTGGATTCTTATTTTAATCTTTTTAGGGTAATTAAATTCTCTTGGATTTTTTTTTTACTCTCTAGGTGAGGAATTTCATTTATCTATGAATAGCTTTGTTTATATTGTTTAAAGTTGAATATATTATGTTTATTTGACATTAAGTAAACATTAAATATGTAAGATATTTGATCTGTGATAATAGCATATTTTATTTTAAGTCTCCTTCTGCACTACCCAGGTTTCTTACTGGAAGCTTGGAAATTTACTTGGAAATTTACAAGTTTAGGTACAATTACGTTAAATAGACTTTACTGTATATCTACATGTACAGAACATCTCACTGTACAAAGTAAGGCACACAACTGAAAAGTCCTTCCTACATAGTCCAGATCAAAGCTCTAAACCAGAAGGAAGAAGAGGAGCAAAAAGAGACTATTTATATTGGACTTAGCTCCTTTGAAATAATTTTCACATAACAACCCTGTTTGTGTGTCGTTGAAGAAGACAAGGAGCCATAAAGGGACGTTAGGAAATGTCTATTCTCTAGAAAGCAGTTTATCCAGCTAAAAAAATTATGCTTTTCTGACTGAAGGAAAGATACTTCTCAGTCAGAGGAGGGGATATTTAACTTGGTTAATAAAGAATGGACAGAATTTCTGTAGGCAAAATCAGGCTTTGCAAGTCAAAGAACTAACTGGACAGAAGGCTTCGAAGCAGGAAACCTGGGTCCTGATCAGATTATTACATGTCATCTGGCTCTTTGAAGCAGGGTCTGCATATTGGGAGATGAAGTACAAAAGATAGCAAAGAAACTTTACTCAGCCAGGTGTGAATAGTAGAGATGAGCACCTCCAGATGGCATAATTTAAGTAATGAAACTGTTAGATATGACAAAAATTAAATGCAGCACCCATTAAGTTACTAACTATATTGCTTCACGTCTGTGTTCTTTCCTTTGCTATACTATTTCTGTCATTTAGAACTTTGTCTCCTGTAGATGTACAAAGAATGAGTTAGCCATATGGAAGAGTTTATGGTTTACCTATATGGAGGGTGGTAGTTTGTAGGTTGTGACAAAAGATTTGTGTTTAAGCGCCATTATCTTAAAGATACTAGATTGTTTGTTTATGTATGTTCAACCTATATATGTTTGAATTCTCCCTTTTATTGCCTTCAAAGCCATTTGATAGCCCAATTCATAACTTTATAGTCACATTTTTCAAAAATCAAAATCAGCATTACCCAGAGCAAAGCGAGAGAGCTGAAGCAAGCAAGTACAAACACTGAGAACCTTTTCTTCTTATTGTGGGAAGAAGTTCACAGTGTTTCCCACCAGCTGTCATGCTGCTATGGAACTTTTTTCTCCTTTCTTTGGCACCAGTGGCCTGAGAGGAAGCAAGAGCTGATAGCAGGGAAGCAGACAAGGCTAACTAGCTGTTGGCAGGAACCTGGAGCAATAGAAGCATCATCCAAAGGCAAACCAATACAGGCTCTTTGATTAAGTTATAAGCAGGTAGTTACGTCTCTCTACTTGGGGAGTTAGAGCTCTGATACAGAAGAAAGGCTGTGGGAGATGGAAACCTAGAAAAGTAGCAGCCGGCTGTGCCTTGAACAAGCCTTGGATTCTTACAAAAACACTCCACCAGCCTGGAATGATACCAGTATTCAATTAAACTGATGTCAGTTATCAAATTCTGAGTATTTAAGGAAACATGTTCTTACTAATCTTTTTTATTTTTTTCCCCTGTGGCTATGTGCTTTCTTTTTAAATGTCTGTGCTTAGCTCTTAAAGAGTAATTGACTAGGGAAGTTTGTTAACCTCTGTCACTATGTGTGTTTGCTGTGACCACAGGAACTCACTCTGACTTAGCGGTAGCATATCCTAATCATAGGCAAACAAAGTAGCACAGTCTGTCTTCACTACTAAACTTTTGAGTCTAAACCTAAAGTTGCAATAGCCACAAAGCCACATGTGTAGAATCAATTTCATAGTTGGCTAATTTATTCCTTGCTTTCATATCCCATTTTTCTGCCTTATTTTCTACTGCTTAAAATGGTGTGGAATCTTTCAGTTGGTGCCTTATTCACATGCAAAACATTTATACATTTTTACAAGGTTCTCCATTAGCAAATTATTTTCTGAGTTATTTTTAACTTACTTGCAAAAAATCTGAATTCAGTTTGAATTTTATAAAATAACATTTTTTTCCCCCCACCATTTCCTTTGTGTGGCTAATTTTCTCCCAATAGAGTATTTTGAGTCTCCTGTTCCATGCAACATCAAAATGGCCTCAAAATGACTGGTGAAAGCCCATTACTGTTGCTATGAAAATTTGTATTAAGAAAATAATATCTGGTTCTTACAACATTGTGTGCAAAAGTATAACACTCATTCTCGATTTAGTCTCATTTGCTTTGTTCATTGTCTTATCCTCGTCTTATATTTTTATTATTTATTTTAAATTTAAAAATGTGCCAAAAAATGGCATATAGGTCAAAGTTTGAATAGCAACATGAACATTTGAAATTGCATCTCCTATTAGTCTGGCATTCAGAAAAGGAAACCTAACCTCTGATAAATAGACAACTGAAGTGCTTTATCTGTTCTCTTCTGATTTAAATATTTCTCTCCCTGATGGTATAGATATGTTCCTCTTTATCCACCCCCTTTCTACCCCATTGTACTTTCTGTCTGTTTTTTTTTTTTTCTTATGGCTCTCATAGAAACCCATTTTGCATCTGTAAAGAAACATTTTTAGACACTTTTTTATCTGTCTCTATACTTCAACTGGGTATTCAAAAAAAAAAAAAAAGACATTTTCCATGAGGAATACATAGTCTACTAATGGAAGCAGACATCATTGACTTTATTTTTTTTCTTTCAACATTTATTTAATAAATCTTTGAGTGTATACTGAATGCTTGCTGTAGTAGAAATAATAGATGAAAATACAGGATATCTGTCCCCAGTCTAATAGAAAGAGGCAAAAACAATATAACCACACACATACAAAACACAGCATAATGCTATTTAAATACTTTCATTAGTAAAGAAAAAAATATATATCCAAGTGCAAGTGGAAGCACAGGAGAACACTCAAGCCTTTTTGCAGGAGTTTAAAAAAAAAACTCTGAAGAGGCTAAACAGCTACAACGTGGAATCATAACACCAATAGTAGCAGCATATGCAAGGTACAAAGAAAGCAGAGGTCAGTAATAAATACACTTCATTCGTACATTTGATAGTGGAATTGGAAGTACATTCTTTTTATAGCTCTTTCATTACCTTCCCTAATGCCTGTACATTCATAATAGATTTCTAGTTAATGTTGTTCAAATCATGTACTTAGTGCCAGATACAATGAAAAGTACGCAGAGACATCTAAGTTCGAATACTAGTCTTGATACTTCATACCTGTATAACCTTAGAAAGTCACATTACTTTCCTGATCTATTATCTGAAAACAGAAATAATGTTCCCTCCCATATTGAAGGGTTTTTGTGAAGATTATTTTTTAAAGTAACTGTTAATAATTGTAGCACAAAGCCTGTGTATATAGGAGGCTCTCAATAAATGACTTTGCTTTTATTTTAATATTGTGATTATTTTACATTTCATTTATTTAAAATCATCTTCCATTTTCTCAATTTTAAAAAAAGGAATTAAGAGATGTATAATTACCCTTCAATACAGTAATGCTAATAAGTCTTTAGCATTTCAAATAAAACTTGTTTATAAGTGTGTTTATATTCATTCTACCACATTTATGTGGAATATAGAAATCTGATTTTGCACTTATGGACATTGCTGATGAAGATTATTTTTTGTTTGTTTATTTTGACAGCCTTCTTTTTTTTTTTTTTTTTTTTTTTTTTATATAAGATAGAGCCTTGCTCTGTCTCCCAGGCTGGAGTGCAGTGGCACAATCTCAGCTCACTGCAACCTCCACCTTCCGGGTTCAAGCAATTTTCCTGCCTCAGCCTCCTGAGTAGCTGGAATTACAGGTGCCTGCCACGCGCTCAGCTAATTTTTGTATTTTTAGTAGAGACAGGATTTCGCCATGCTGGCCAGGCTGGTCTTGAGTTCCTGACCTCAGGTAATCTACCCGCCTTGGCCTCCCAAAGTGCAGGGATTACAGGCGTGAGCCACCACGCCCAGCCTATTTTGACAACCTTCTTAACATTGGACCTAAGAATTTACTTCACCCACTATCCTGTCTTTGCCTTATTGATGAGAACTTAACCACCCCAAGCAATTGTAATCATGTAGATAACACAAAGGATTGATGGGTTTGGCCAGATCAACCAAAGTTCAAGTTGAAAATTGTTTTCCAAGTGCCCATAGCTCATTCAGCTATTACTTCAAGATGTTACACATAATTTATCAGGGGGAGGACTGGGAGAGCAGGGGTAGAGTGAGGGTATGGACCCAGCATGCTTCCCTAGTTCTAACATTCAGCACCACATTCCTGGCCCCTTTCAGCTCTTCTAGAATTGGGGGTATGGATATTTGTCACCATGGCATGATTAGATGGAACAGGAGCATTTGTCTCATATCACTGTGAACCCTGAATATCTAAGACAGGTCTCAGTTCATTTAGAAAGTTTATTTTGCCAAGGTTGAAGATGTGTGCCCGGACACAGCCTCAGGAGGTCCTGATGACATGTGTCCAGCTTGGTCAGAGCAGTTTTGTTTTATACATTTTAGGGAGACATGAGACATCAGTCATAGTAAGATGAACATTGGTTCAGTCCAAAGCAGCAGGACAACTTGAAGGACAGGTGGGACAACTGGAAGTGGGGAGGGGGCTTCCAGGTCATAGGTAGATGAGAGGAAAATGGTTGCATTGAGTTTCTGCTTAGCCTCTCCAAGGGAGGCAATCAGATATGCATTGACCTCAGTGAGCAGAGGGGTGACTTTGAATAGAAGCGGTTCCCAGCTTGTCTTTTCCCTTTAGCTTAGTGATTCTGGGGCCCCAGGATTTGTTTTCCTTTCATACTCTCCTACTACTTTCTTTAACTTTTACAGATCCTTTAAGCCTTCTTTTGATCCCTCTTGTCCAGCACCCCCCATCATGTTAAGGAAATGGATATTTTTATGGTTGTGTAAAATCTCTCCTATTAAATTGTGAGTTCTATGAGAACAGGGATGATGCTGATGTATATTAAGCAATTAAGCATGTTATCTGATGCACAGATACACTTAAGTAGTTCTAAAGTTGTATTCTTCTGTTATAGTTAAACATATGACCACTTTAACATGGGGCTTAGAATATATTCTTTGGCTTGTATCTTTTAAGGGAGGAGTGTGCAGGAGAAAGACATGAGAGAACGTGGAGACCAAAGCATTTTGTTTTAAAACAGTGAATCTGTTACCAGAAAAGGGTCCCTATACAGACCCCAAGAGAGGGTTCTTGGATCTAGGCAAGAAAGAATTCAGAGAAAGTCCATAGAGTAAAGTGAAAGCAAGTTTATTAAGAAAGTAGAGGAATGAACGAATGGCTACTCCATAGACAGAGCAGCCCCAAGGGCTGCTGGTTGTTCATTTTTATGGTTATTTCTTGATTATTTGCTAAACAAGGGGTGGATTATTCATACCTCCTCTTTTAAGACCACATAGAGTAACTTCCTGACGTTGCCATGGCATTTGTAGACTGTCATGGTGATGGTGGGCGTATAGCAATGAGGATGACCAGAGGTCACTCTCATTGCCATGTTGGTTTTGGTGGGTTTTAGCTGGCTTCTTTCCTGCATCCTGTTTTATCAGCAAGGTCTTCATGACCTGTGTCTTGTGCCAACCTCTGTCTCATTCTGTGACTTAGAATGCCTAGTCATCTGGGAATGCAGCCCAGTAGGTCTCAGTCTTATTTTACCTAGTCCCTATTCAAAATGGAGTTGCTCTGATTCAAACACCTCTGACATATATTCTCCCTCCATTTTATAAGAGAACTCTTAAAGGTTATAGAGGGATGAAGATCCATCTTCTGTAACTTCTTCAGGCTGAATAAGGGCAATGATATTCCTACCTAACTGTTAGGTCTCTTGCATTCAGGGTAGAGAGGAGCTCAGTCAGAAAGCATTGGTATGGTGATAGCCATTCGTAACTATTGAGTGCTGAAAAAAAGGTGATATCTGGAAGATTAATAACTGTCCAGTTTCAGAGAACATTGAGTAAGCTTATCCTGCATTCCTACATGTGGAGTAAAACAGCGATGTATTCCAAAAGAGTAAAGTAAAATAAGTAAAATTATCTCAAGTAAACTGAATTAGAAGGCTTTCCATGAACTGGGCAATTGTTGGAACCAAGCTGTTATGGGGTTGCTAGCCAGTTCCAGTGTGCCCAGGGTTAGAATATTGACTCCAGATTTTTATATTACTCATCCTTTTTATTTCTTTTGAGCAGCATCCAGAGATCACTGGTTGGTTTATAGGAGTAAGCAGGGTCAGCCTAAATTGCAGGAAAAAACTCAAAAACAACCGATGAGACTAGAATCTATTAATAACAAGTGTACTATAGTTCTTGAAACTTAATTTCTCTCTCCAGTTTCCCATTTTTACTAGAGACAAATTATGGTAAGACTGATTTGCTTTATTATACTTGGCCTGTTTATTTGTATAAAGTACAGCAAGAATAATTATTTTTGATATAAACTTTTTGGTTGGCTTTGATGGAATTCTGTTGCATAAGGAATCTCAGATAAGACTTTTATTTTTTAAGTTGAGCCCAGCCTTGTGTTTGTAACCTCAGACATCTATGAGTTGGATAAATTCCTCTACTCTTGAAGTCACAAGATAGCTTGGGGCTCCTGGGCTTATCAGAAAGTGACATTCGTTGCTTATCACTGTGGGTCAAGAACCCTGTACAGAGACTGTGTAGACAAGGTATGAGGCCAGTTTTCTCAAGAGGCTTTTATTGGCTTTAAAGTCAAGCTCAATTCCTTAAAGGAAAGCACACCATTCTGGTCAATGCCTTGATAACCAGTTTCACCAATTGTGTCCTGTTACAAAAGGAAACAGATTCTTATTGCACTTATGCAAATAACTGTATTACCATAAATTAAGAATACCCAGCCGGGGGTGGTGGCTCACTCCTGTAATCCCAGCACTTTGGGAGGCTGAGGAGGGTGAATCACAAGGTCAGGAGTTCGAGACCAGCCTGGCCAAGAAGGTGAAACCCCATCTCTACTAAAAATACAACAATTAGCTCGGCATGGTGGTGGACACCTGTAATCCCAGCTACTCAGGAGGCTGAGGCAGGAGAATTGCTTGAACCAGGGAGGCGGAGGTTGCAGTAAGTGAGATCACACCACTGCACTCTAGCCTAGGTGACAGAGCAAGACTCCATCTGAAAAAAAAAAAAAAAAAAGAATACTCACAAATAGTTTCCAAATTCTGGAGAAATTAGGTAGAGAGAAACAAATATGTTTCAAATTTTGTTCACAGGAGTATACTTTACTTAATTGTCAAAAGCTGCAAGTAGGTTAAAAGAAGTTACCTTGACTCTGAAAAACAAAGCAAATGATCAGCAATTTTTAAGCAAAATGTCAAAAAAGTTTCTTTAATCTTACATTAGTTTAGTCCATGCAGTTAACTCATCTTCTGCTTGATAGTCATAAACATTTCAGCTCTCCATGAGAGTCCTTAATGTTTTTTCTCTATTCCAAAGTTATTCAAAGTAATCAGAAACCTGCATTTAAGAGCAACTATCAAAGTCCTGTCACTGATTATGAAACAATCTTTTGAAGAGGATCAAAACAACATAACAATTTTCTGTGAATGACAAAATCTTTTAGGGCAGCCACAGTTAAAAACACGATTGACAAAGAAATTTGGTTACCTTTCTGGCATATGATTTTATGTAACAATTATAATAACATACACTAAGTCCTATTAGAATTAGAGGAGTTTTACGTAATTTTGGAACACATACCAACAACATATTTAAACAAATATAGCCCAAAGAAAGCCAAACACTATTTCACATGTGACAGTGCTTCCTGTATGATTTTTGTACCAAATAAGCCAAATTTCACCTTTACATTAGTGTACTATTAATGTTAAAACCAATTCTTAATAAAACTCATTGACATGTCTACCCAAATTTAATGTTTGACCATAAGGTGAGATACTCATAAACCTTTTTTAACCCTTACAATTTTTATAACCTTTACAATTTTTTGTTAAAGTGTCGATTAGTGCTCTAAGAAAAACCTGTTTTGAGCCAAATTCCGGTTGCAAGGCAGATTACTCCAAAGATGGTTCCTAGAGGGGAAGAGAATTAAAAAATGGCAAATGTCACACTGATATCAAACCAGAAAGGACTCATTTCCTAAGCCAGGAATTGAACCCTGAACCTGAGCAGCCATTGTGACAGCAGAGACCAAGAGAAAGTACTGCCATGTGGTTAAAAGGTCATCTCCCAAGGATATAGAACAAGAGAAGAGGAGAACTTCATCCAGTTTTGTTTCAGGGACCTGCAGCGAAGTTTGTAACCGACCAGTTTTCTGGGCCATTTTGAACAGCAAGCTTATGGTGTCCTAGGCCAACATTCTATCCTAAGATACCCCTCTTTATGACCAAACAATACAGAAAGGCACACAAAGCACACCAGATTTGCTACAGCTTAAGATTAGCCTCACAGATCCTTTTTTCCCATTAATCAAACCTTTACAGAGGAGATAAACAGTGATTTTTACCATTCATTCAACCAGTTTGCCCAGAGGGAGAAAGAGAGAGAGAGAGAGAGAGAGAGAGAGAGAGAGAGAGAGAGAACAAACGAACCTAGAAGCCTGACTAGTAAGAAATTCTTATCCTTTTGCTGGCATGCCGGGCTTCTGGGTTCCCTTGCCCTGAGTGGCCCCAGTGACCCGGCTGGCTGCACCAAAGCCCTGGCTGCCAAGCTGCAACAAAGAGGAAAATTATCGAATTTCCCCTTTGAGGGAGGAAAAAGCTCCCCATTTCCCATGGTCCTTTACTTGTGTAATTCTGTCACCTGCAACTGTCAGCAAAGACTGCAAAGCAGATTACTCCAAAGAGCATAGCAGTTAACATCCCATAGTGCTGAACCCGTTCTTATCCGAGGACTTTACTAAGAGGGTCCACTAACCCCCTAAATCTTATAAAGGACTCTAACATTCCTAAGTTGGGCCTCGAACCCAAGTTCAGTCAAGCGTCCTTGCCTTTTTCTGAGAGGAGCCTTTAAATCTGTCTTAGGAGAGACTCTGCCTCCCTTAAATTGGGCGTCTAATGCAATCCCACTCTTCACTCGGGTATATGCACCCCACGTGCCGAAAGTTCGCCAATTGGTACATGCAGGTGATTTTCCTTTGGGTTGGGGGTCTCTTTAGTTTCATTTCTTCCATGGTCTGCCAGAAAGATGTTACTGGACCCCAGCACTTACCCAAAGTTAGTCTTTGGGTCAGGAGTTTCCTTAGTATTGTTCCTTCCATGGTGGCCGGAAAGATGTTACCGGAAAGGGGTCCTGATCCAGACCCTAAGAGAGGGTTTTTGGATCTCAGGCAAGAAAGAATTCAGGGAGAGTCCATAGAGTAAAGTGAAAGCAAGTTTATTAAGAAAGTAGAGGAATGAACGAATAGCTACTCCATAGACAGAGCAGCCCCAAGGGCTGCTGGTTGTTCATTTTTATGGTTATTTTCTTGATTATATGCTAAACAAGGGGTGGATTATTCATGCCTCCCACTTTTAGACCATAGAGGGTAACTTCCTGATGTTGCCATGGCATTTGTAAACTGTTGTGGCACTGGTGGGAGTATAGCAGTGAGAAAGACCAGAGGTCACTCTCATTACCATGTTGGTTTTGGTGGGTTTTAGCTGGCTTCTTTACTGCAATCTGTTTTATCAGCAAGGTCTTTATGGCCTGTGTCTTGTGCCAACCTCCTATTTCATTCTGTGACTTAGAATGCCTAAGCATCTGGGAATGCAGCCCAGTAGGTCTCATCCTTATTTTACCCAGCCCCTCTTCAAGATGGAGTTGCTGTGGTTCAGACACCCCTGACAAACCTGGTACAGTTATGAGGAATGGGAGTTAGGTGTTTGTTTTTTGTTTTTAATATTCTCATCAGGACTGTTGCCTATAATATGAGTGTGTACAGGTGTGTGTATTTAAAGTGAGAGTGTGTGTGAGTTAGTGTGTGTGTGAGTTTGTGTGTGTGTGTGTGAGTTTGTGTGTGTGTGTGCATGTACAGTGGTTTCTACTTTTCCACTGGGGTATGTTCTTCAGTGGATGCCTGAAACTTCATGTTGTACTGAACCATGTATACACTGTTTTTTTTCCTTTACATATATAACTATAATAAAGTTTAATTTATAAATTATGCAGAGTAAGAGATTAACAACAATACTGCATAATAACATAGAACTATTATAACAGTATGCCAGTATCACTACTTGTGCTTTGGAGCCATTCAAAATAACATAAAGGTGACTTGAACACAAGCACAGCAATACCATGGCAGTCCGTTTGGTAACTGAGATGGCCATTAAGTGACTAATGAGCAGGTAGTGGATAGTGCAGAGATGCTGGGCAAAGTGATGATTCACATCTGGAGTGGGATGCAGGAGGACGTCACAAGATTTCATCATGCTACACTGAAGGGCATGCATTAAAACTTATGAATTATATCTGGAATTTTCCATTTAATATTTTCAGGCCACAGTTGACCATGGGTAACTGAAACCATGGAAAGTGAAACCATGGAAAAGAGTGGACTGGTGGAATACAACTGGCATGCACACACATACACACACACACACACACACACATATGCTTGATATCAACAAAGAATTACATACCATTTACAGTCTGGAGGCAAAAGGGAGGCTGTGATAGACTGTAATGATAAATCCTGTTCTCTTGAGCACTGAGTTCTGTTTTGTTGGCCTCATCTAGCATGTCATCCTTTCTCTCATCTTCTGGATCTGATCACTATATTTTGCTTCTGTACCTCCAGAGAAATTATGTTGGACATTTAATAATTATAGAGGAAAACGTCAAATCTTAACAAATATTTAAGGAGACTGTTTCAGGTACAGTGCACTGGAGCTTGCTGTGGAGAATGACAGAGAAACATTAGATGTGGCCCCTTCCCATAACCACACTGATTAGTATCAAAGGCAGCAGGGGCAGTGATTACAAGTTTATTTTTTTTTTAAAGAAAAATCACAGGCCCTGGTTTAAAAAATTGCTTTGTGCTGTGCCTCACACTTTGGTGAGTTAAGTACTCACTGCAATACCAGAGAAAAGCCAAAGAATTTCATTTTAATGTAGATATTTTCTTTTAAAAGTTAGTCTTTAGTACAGGAAAGAGGAGTAGGCGCTAACGTTTTTATATTCTCATTAGGACTATACATTATTTTTATATACATGTAAACTGGGGAACAATAACAAATTATGTAAAATCCACAGCATGGAGGTTTTGATATACTTTAATTAATTCCTAGGTAAAATTAGTATGCATTACAGTTTACAGAAAAAAAATACACAAACCTGCTAATCAAAATGTTCAGCCAACAGAGCTGGGGCTTTTTTATTAGTTATATTGCCTTGAATTTCATCACTGTACCAGCTGGCTTCTTGTCAAGTTATAGTTTGGACCTTTACATCAAACAGCAAAAAAATTAATTACAGGAGAAGGAGTCCCAATTGGAATTTTGCTCTTAGAGGTTTTTCACAATTAACCAGACATGAATGGGGCTGTGTAAGGAGGAAATGGAACTAGAGAGAAGGAACTTGGTAGACTTTTTTAGAATCATTAACTATAGCAATGTTAGTTACGGGCTTCCGTGATTTTGTTTTAAGGTTTAGCCAAAGTTTTCAGATTTCTCATTTCTAGAAGCACCCAGTTCTGTTACTATATTGAATGCAATGAATCATACCATGAATTCTGAATTCTCTTAGAAAGGGTCCCAAGCGATGGCTCAAAAAATGATTATCCTCTCTTCATTTTGAATCGAGGAACATTCTATCTATTACACTACTGATCATAATCATAATTTAATGAGCAGAACGATCATGCTTTGATGGTTAGTGCCAGATTACTTGTAATACGTATTTTGGACTCAGAACTATTGTTCTTAACTGTCACAGTCATTGCCTCTGTGCGCTACAGTTAGTTTAAATGTGACTTTTCTAAGCCTCTTATCTGTTGAATAAACCAGCCAAAGGTTTTAAAAATGCTTCCTTTAACTTAGCTTTCTACTTTTCTTTTTTATTTTGCTTAAAAGCCCTTACTTGTGACCCATTCTTCTAGTTGCTGGCATTCTAATATAGTGAATGGTTCTTTCACAAATACAGTTAATCTTTGGATGCCTGGAGAATCCAAAGAACACATTTCTCTCCTCTGAAAAATGCATGTGAACATACATACAACATTTTGCATGAAATATTAGAAAATCATTAGAAATGCATGAGCCCCAAGTTGTGAACACCTGTTGCATTCATTGAGGAACATATAAATGTATTATGTACATATGTGTACCTATCATATTCATATATAATTTAGGAATATACATATTGCTTAAATTCAAATGCTGATTCAGATCATATTGTTTGCATTCTGTCAAGTCATCTATGCTAAAATAAATCAATTATATTATTTGCCATCACCTGAATAAATTTAGATTTCTGATCCATTTTTATACACAGTAGCCCTTATACACAGCACCCTTACTTATAGGCTCATTTGGGTCACCATATTTCACTGTACTGTCTGAATTACTGCCATATATCCTAAGTAATTTGTAGCCCATAGCTGAGAAGGACATTCTTAACTTGTTTTAATGATAATATTTTTCTTCATTAGGTTTGTGAGCTTTGAGCTAGTGGAAGATACTAACAGGCATTTTCCAGTTTTCTCTCTCAGGCCTTAAGAATGGTTCACTATTATCCCAAGGTCACTTTGAAAGTCTTTCTGTGATTTGCTTCCATTTATTTTATGCTTGTGTTTATGGTTTTGAACCAAATATGAAATTTAATGTTGCGTTTGTCTACATTAAACTTAATTTGCCCCTTGTCAGCTCGTTTACAACAGAGAAAACATTCAGAGCCACCCTGTAGAATGTTTTGTCTACAATCACTGATACAATTTTTCTGTCTCTCTTTGTTGTATGCAACTTTCTATATTTTTCAGTCTAAAAAGAGGCCTCTCTGAAGGAACATTTTCAGAAAATCTAAATGTCTAATAGAGATTAATAAATGATTTTCTAATAAAATAGAATCATTACCGTATTTTGAATTTTTTAAATTAAAGTTCTATTTTCTAACTTAGAAATTTAATTTCATATTACATATTATATGAATATGCTTCTTGAGATGCTCTTAAAGTAGTGAATTTATACTTTAAAAAGATAAATGAAATAAAAGTTAAAATATAAACAAAATCTTAAATTGAGTTACATTACCAAATATTACCAAATATTTTGTGTGCTTTTTTCTTTTTCTCAGATTTTTCTAAGTACTGAAATTAACCTCATGTAATTAAATTTCTCCATTTAAAAATTAGTTACTTTTTAAAAATAATTTCAACTTTTATTTTAGATGCATGGGGTACATGGGCAGTTTGTTATGTGGATATATTGCATGACACTGAGGTTTGGGGTGTGAATGTCTGTCACCCAGGTGGTGAACATAGTACCCAATAGGTTGTTTTTCAGCCCTCCCTGCTTTCTCTCTCCTGCCTCTAGTAGTCCCCAGATGAATTTTTTCTTAATGCTTACTAATTTTTCAATACCATTATATGGTATTGAAATGACAAATATTTTAAATTGATGTATCTTAGAGGGCACTAAAATGAAACATTAAATATACATGATGAAAAATACTTTTAAAGTAGAATCCTAAACATATACATTAAGAAATATAATTTGTGTGTTGAAAATTATTTTCAGGAGAATCTACTAACTTGTGCCTGTATCTTCGAATCATGAGCAGTGTTCAAAACTTGGGAAATGTTTGATCCTAGAATATCTGCTGTTTACCTTTGAGCAGATATTATATTTATTCAGTTTATGTTAGGGAAATATCAGACAGGTGTACAAAGATACATATAAAAGACTGGTGATTTTTTATAACACAGAAATATTAGAAAAAGTCAAAATTACCAACTTAAGGTGATTGGTTAAATAAAATTTCATTACATGGTCCACAATGGAATACCATCATGGAGATGCATACCTATTGATATGCAAAATGCTCATTTTAAATTTCAAAATAATATATAATGCAAGTCTATCTTTGTTCAAAAACAAGTTGTAGGTAGTTGGTAGATAGGTATGAATGTATGTATAGGTATCAATATAGATATAGATATAAATATACAGATGTGGATATAGACAAAAATAAATACAATGTTTATCAAAAGAAAAACAGATTATTTTGTAACATCTGTGTGTGTAATTGTGATTTTTAAAAATATTTCTATGAGTGGATTACTTAATAAATTAATAAATAAAATAAAAATAAAACATTGTAATAGAAGTCAATATTTATTAAGCACATACTATGTATCGTATATGCTTCTAAATAATTTACATGCCTTACCTATTTAATTGTAATTATGCTACTCTTCAGTCCTTATTATCTTAGCCTGTTTGTCCTGCTATAACAAACCACCATAGACTGGGTGGCTTAAACAACAAAAACTATTTCTCATAGTCTGGATGCTGGGAAGTCCTAGATCGAGGCACTGGCAGATTTGATATCTGGTGATGCCCTATTTCCTGGTTCACAGATGGCTGTCTTCTCACTGTATCCTCCACAGCAGAAGAAACAAGGCAGCTCTCTGGGGCCTGTTTTATAACAACATTAATCCTGTTCATGAGGGCTCAACCCTCCTGAACTAATCACCTCCCAAAGCCCCATCACCTAAATACCACCACATTAAGAGTTAATATTTCAACATATGAATTTGGGCGAGGTGGCGGGGGGGGCAACTTGCAGCCCATCACCATTATTTATGCTGTAGATTATAAGCATGTGAATTTTTCACACTGGAATGTTAGAAATAAATGATAATAATGTAATTTCACATTTTTATGGAGTCCATGAACCCTCTGAGGCTGTATCGTGGGGTGGGTGTGTGTTTGTGTGTGTGTGTATGTGTTTTCCTGGGGAGCAGTTACTTAGCTTTTAATCAGATTGTGCGATGAGTTAATATCGTCCTCTGATAGTTTTAGTCAAACTCACCATTCATTTCTGTACTATTGAAAACTCCACTACAAAGTCAAGATACTAACAGCAAGCAAAACTATACAGTGAAAATGAATTTGTTGTTTTCACCTCATTAATCTACCCAAGGCAGTTGGTAAAGATAGCAAGCAGCAACAGCGTGACCTCAGGTCACATTTTCAAGCAGGCTAGGAAGAAATGGGAGTTGGGGAGGTCATCAGGTGCCAGGAGTGTTCTAGCCAGAGCAGAACTCTACTTTTAGATAGTGCCTAAAATGTTAATTTTAAGTGGTATATAATCAACTGTCAGTTAAACTACAAATAACCTTTGAGAGCTTATTCAGAGGCTTTGCAAGGTGAACATGTAGAATAGTGAGGCTTTCATGAGGGTGGATATAGGATTCCTAACATAGTAATCTGATTTACCCAATCAGTCTGTGTCTTGTAACAACATTATTTTCATTTTCAATTCTGTCTTTTAAGATCTAAAACAGTAGATGATTCAAAGCACATTAATACTTGGCTTTGGGATATATGTTTGTATTATTAAAATATGAATAAATGCATCTGTGCAGAACTTCAGCACTTTAAAGAAAGGAATAAGGCCATTCCATGAAAACCTGTATGAACAAGAGCCAAATAGCTAGCAACCCTTTGGATTCATCCTTGTTACCTGTATGGGCAGCTGGTTCTCTCCTCAGAATGATGATTTTACAGATGAGGAAACCAAGCACTAGAGAGATTAAATTGCCTATATTCACATCACTTATAAGTGGCATAGCTGTGATTTAAACCCAAGTCTTGCTAACTTGGAAATCTGTATCCATGGGCATCATGTTGTCTAACTGACTACTTTTAAAATATTATGGAGAAGTTGATAAACTGTAGATTCCAGCCTACTAATCACTCCAGAAGTAATGTATCCATATCATTGAGGGTAGGGGTGAACATTTTTAACAGCCTTCCTTGGTGATTCTGGAATGTAATATAGATTGAAAAGCATAGCTTTACACCATCTTATTTCTGCATCAGAGGGGAGATCATGTAGCAAGTTCTTATTTATGATTTTATTTTTCGGTAGCATTTAATGCTACTGACCACCATCCTTGGGACTTTTCTTAGCCTTCTATGTTTTCTTCTAATGTCCCCTTTACCCTGCTAACCATTGCTCTCAGTCTTCCCTAACATGGCTTCTTTCTGCCTTCAGTTCCTTGGTATGCTGGCCATGGCGTTTTTTCTCTGGTGGCTCTCATTATCTTTGCTTATTGAGGCTTTATAAATTACTCTTTCTCCCCACCTACAATTCTCTCTTGAGTTTCAGTACCTTATTTTTATCGTTCTTCTAAATCTACAGATGCTGATGTTTCCTTCGTGTCTTAAATTTAGCAGGCCTAAAATTGAACTCATTATCTTCTTACCCCAAACTTTCTGTCACCGTTTTCCTCTAGTGTAGTTAACACTGTCACTACTCAGCCTTCTGAACTCAAAACTTCAAAATTGCATTCCGACTTTCCTTTTCCTCACTGTCGCCATTCAGTCAGTCTGTCATCAAATCTTGTTATTTCCATCTCAGAAATGCCATTTGAATCGATCATTCTTTTCTGTGTTTCCACAGAATCTCATCATCTGTTATACATTGGATTCCATACCAGTTTTCCTATCATTCAACTTTCCCTGATATCCAGTCTTTTTTCCACATGGTACCAGAGATATTTTAATAATAAACACATTTGGAATTCTCATTTCCCTACTTTAAAATAGCCTTTGATTCCCTAATGCCTGCAATATAAGGTACAAAATGTATACGGTTCATCCTAATGATCCTGCTTTATCTCCTTACCACAAGTCTTATTTTGTGGCTAAACTGAACTTTTTACTACATCTCACTTTCTCACTCTGATGCATTTGTGCATCTGATACATACCTGGAATCTCTGTCCAGGTATGAGAAGTTGGTCATTCTTAGCCCTGTATTTCCATAGAATTTACTTGTGCACAACATGCTATGGTAGTAATTAAGAGTCAGGGGGCTGAAACCAGACTAACTGGGTTCACAGGCCCAACTCCTTAATTACTGTGTAACATCTTTGTGCCTCAGTTTCCTTATCTGTAAAATTGAAATAATGATATTACCTACCTTAGACAATTGTGGAAGATAGGGTTAATTCATGTGCAATGCCTACAATCGTGCCTGGCACATAATAAACAGAAATTAAGCATGTGCTGCTGCTTCTACTGTCATCGTGATGACAATGATGTGACAGTCTCCATGGAAGAGGGCTAAAGGAATTGTTTATTAATACTGGGATCAACCCAGAGATCCACGGCTGTCCCAGAAGAAAAGTATTTTGCCTATGGGAAGCCTGGATCCAGTTTGTAGGCTAATATACTATCGCTACCTCATGGCATTTCTAGTCTCTTGTAAATCATCCACTAGTTAAAATCCCGCTAGTCCTTGGATTGGTATGTGGACATATACTTGTTCCCAGACTGGAAATCCCTTCATTATCAGTAAAGATTGCTCCAATTGCAATTCTGCAGGTACATTATTTTGCTAGTTTCATGGTTGAAGGAGTAAGCTGTGCCATCGGTATACCTTGGGCTGATGTGAATCAGACTTTAGACCTAGACAGGACCTTTAAATATAGCAGAGGGACATTCCTTGTGTCAATTTAAAGCATCCTAATATAGCCTCATAAAGTCGGCTCTCTGCTATGACACACTGTGGACAACATCATAAGAAATATTATCATTTAGACTGAAATTTGAATTGAGCAAAATGTTTGTAGACACTTATTAATTTTTAAGAAACTGCTATACACCTATTTATTTGGATGATATTTTTATTTGGATGAATGTGGTCCTGAAAAGTTAAATGTAAGTTGCAGAATTTCTTAGCATAAAGTTCACTATTTAAAGCACCTCTGCAGTAAATTATTTTGAATTACATCCTAGCTTATTAGTTTTTATTTATTATAATATTAATATGCAGTGTATTTGAAGTAGGATACGTTTGTATTGGCTATGATACTTTCTAACTCATTGGAGAAATTTATAAAATTAATTAGAAATTTGCGGCATTAATTAGAAATTTGTAGCACTAATTAGAAAATCACAGCAATAATTAATTGTAGCACATGAAAGAAAAGTTTGGAAAGTAGCATTTAATTTTTAGGGAAAGAAAAGAAGGCTTAAAGTAGAAATTGAACTTAAGGGTAACAATAAAAACCAATCGGTTAGATGACTAATATCTAAAATTGATTCTCAAAATGGAAACTATGTATTTGTTACTGTTTTATTTTATTTTTAAGTTTATTGGGTTTCTGGTTCTGATCATTATAGTGAGAGATAATATTATATAGATCCCCAGCCAGGGGTCTCAGCTAAACACACAGAAGAATAAGCATAAGCATGCAGGCACACTTGAAATGAAAGGTACACACTCTAGTAGTAAAAAATAGATCTGAAAAAGAAATACGGAAAATTCATAATAAAAGTAATGACCTGAGTTTCCTTAGCACCTGAAGTTTACAAGATATTTGCCTAATGTGATGTGGTAGGAAAAACTGGATTTTAATGAGAGGAACTCAATTTTAATGGTTGCTTTCCCACTATGTGAAGTTGGGCAAGTCTCTTAACTGGCCAGAGCTTTGGATTTCTCATCTGTGAAATGAATATAATAGAGAGTTCCTTTGAGGATCAAAAAATAACCTACATACAAAGCCTTTGGAAATTGTCAAGAATTGTACAGATTTCAGAGATTATAGAAATAGATATTTCAGAAATTACTCTGAGATCGCAGAGATTATTTCAGAAATGAAATAAGTATGACATTGATAATTGTCTTCAGTTTGTGCTTGAGGAAACCAAGATGTGCAACAAGTAATGAGCAGCCAAACTGAAGCTGGACCCTGGGCTTCTGAGTCCAAAGGTGGTACTTCCTGTGCTAGACCGTGCTATTTTTGAGCTACACCTGTACATCATTCACAGGACACAGGTCTAGTAAATGATAGCCTAAACTAAATTTAAAAAACATTAAAAACATATAATTATTGATTTATTATTAGTAAGAAATTCTAATATTAATAGGCTGATATTTGCATGTGTTTTGTAATGCAGGTAATGAATTTGGGCATCCTGAATGGTTAGACTTCCCAAGAAAAGGAAATAATGAGAGTTACCATTATGCCAGGCGGCAGTTTCATTTAACTGACGACGACCTTCTTCGCTACAAGTTCCTAAATAATTTTGACAGGGATATGAATAGATTGGAAGAAAGATATGGTTGGCTTGCAGCTCCACAGGTAAGCTCTTCACTCTGGATGCTGTGTTTTAGTCACCAATGAGGTACATGCCTAGAATGGCAACCAATTTAAATCTCTATGCAGATCTTTTAAACAGCAATTTATTATTCAGTGTCTAGTGTCCTGTACCATACTTCAGGTTGTCAAAACATGTCACTGAAGTCTCTTCAATTGATAATGAAAATCTTAAACATAATGCCCTGCTTAGTTTCCTGGTTTGTTTGTTACTGTTTAAATTTAGTAATTTGTATTTTTATTGGTTAAAATAAACAATAAAAGCTCTGCAGGGAACCCATTTTGGAAATTGCTGTGGAAACATCTTAATTGTTTGGAACACTTTTTTATGTAAATAATTATGCTGTCATAAAGAAACTACTTTGACAACATGTAAATTTCTTTATTCATTTTTTTTTCTCTTCTTTAGTGGCCTCTAACTTGTCATTTCAATAGATGCCATTATACCTGCATGCTGTTTTGTATTTTTCATGAGCCTGTCTGTCCTCTGGAATTAATGTCTCAGTTTTCAACAAATTTTAGAAAATGTAATTAACAAGTGAAAATTTTATACAGGCTTCTTTTTTCCTGGCAAAAGTTAACATATAATATGTCTTCGTTATAATCCATTTACTTTATACTGGGGCTGTTTGAAATTACTGTTGATGTGTTTTTACTTTGGTGTCTATGATTCTTTTTTTTTTAATGGCTGAACAAAGGTATTTATATATTCAGTAAGATTTGTTCCATGACACGAATGCCCTAATCACGTTTATTAGTAATGCTATTTCCAGAAGAGAGAGCAAAATGATGCTCCTTTTCAATAGGAACAACGTTGAATACCAAAAGGCACCCTGTTTACTCTAGAGCTGTAGTTCACATTTCTAAATTACCAAGAGTGGTGCTGCGGGTATGCATGGCAATAAGTCCTCTCAAAGCTGGGGCTGAGTGAGGGTGGTGTTGAAAAAGCCAAGGCTTTTCACAGCCAACTGTAAATACATGATGATGAAGAAAAGAAGAGAGTTTACAGATGTAATTTCTTTTCAGACCTTATCTTTTTATTAAGAAAAAAAAGTATTGTAATTGACTTTAGGTTGCCATTGAATCTGACAAAGTTGGGTAAAAATGTAAAATGTTTAAGAGAACTGTAATTTCAGAAACTACATTAAAATAAAAATGTTACATTAAATTTTGAAAAGTAATTTTATGTACCTAACCGCATTAAGCTGGAGACTAAAAGTCTTACAGAAAATTCACTTATAAGTAGATCTAATATATACAAACGAACACTTTGTAGTATGTATAGGTACCATGGTTTTACTTAAAACCTGAGCCACAACACTGTTTCTCTATTTGTGCTATGAGGGTAGCAAGTGGCTGGTGAGCTTTGTATACTCCACTAAACAATTTTTGAGACTGTTCTTGGCTCACAGTTAGGTACAGCAAAATTGTAACATGTTCAAAAAAATATAGTGTTCTGAAATACTCATTTTTGGTTTAATAACCAGACTATTAAGAAAGACAAAAAATAATGTACTTGTAGCAGCATCTAGGTATTATTTAAATGTAACATGTGTGCTAATTCTTGCAGGCCTACGTGAGTGAAAAACATGAAGGCAATAAGATCATTGCTTTTGAAAGAGCAGGTCTTCTTTTCATTTTCAACTTCCATCCAAGCAAGAGCTACACTGACTACCGAGTTGGAACAGCATTGCCAGGGAAATATCCTTTTTGTTACCAGTGAATATGACTGTCCACATTCACTTCTTTATTACATTATAGGACAAAAAAAAAAAAAAGACTAAGGTTGATCTTGATGACAGAAACATTCATTTTCCTCATCTGAAAAATGAGGAACTTAAAATAGTTGATGGATAAATCTTTGCTCGACTCAGTTATACTGAATTATTCCTAAGCTTCATTTTGGGTTTAAACAGAGGGGTTAGTGCAGACGTGGTTCACATCAAAGGAAAGAGCTGTGGATCTTGCTGTCCTGAAGGTTTCACTATGGAGCCCTGCTCTCCAGGTCCCCACATCCACCAATACAGAAGACAATAAATGAAGTCTTCTGAGATAATAGCAGAGGCTCTGGACTTAGGGGACCAGGCTTTAAAAAGTATAACTGAATATTTCTTAAATAATATTTCTTAAATAATATTTAGAGCAGCAATATGGGAGACGATTGTAGTTTTACTCTATGAAAATATTTTGTAAGTTACCTCTGAGACTTGTTTCTTTTCCTCCACTCAGTGGGAGAGAGCAAACAGTAGTTGTAATGATAGTGTCCTTCCTTTTTCTGTTTCTTCTCCTAAAATTCAAGACACAGCATACCTTTGTAGGCCTGAATTGGTAAGAAGGCAAGGCAGGGGAGGTGTGAGCAGTAGAAATAACCAGGGAGAATGTTTTTGATGTTCTCTATGTATTCATTTACTCCTTTTTTCATGCATTTTACAGATACTTACTGAGTACCTATTTACTGAACACCTTATAGATACTTACTGAGTACCTATTTACTGAACACCTCTGTGACAGCTCTGAGCTGATTACTGTAAATATAGGAATTCTCCTAGCAGATACAGTCACTGCCGTCATAGAGCTTTTAAACTAGTAAAGAAGATAAATATTAGGCATTGTAAGTTTGATAATTATTACAAAGGAAATGTACAGTACATTTTAAAGACATGTTACTAGATCCATGAAAAAAATGACAGATTCAGGACCTAGCAATAAATCAGCACAATTTTTCAAGCAGGCAATAGAAATAATGTGCTTGCCCCCTGAAGCCCTAACAATGATTAGCATCTGCCACCTGAGCAAGGTGCCTGATGCCAACATGAAGTCCTATGTGTCAGGGTGGCTCCAGCTACAATAAAGAAACCCTCCTACTCAGCTGGCTCAAATAATAAGGAAAATGTATTTGTCACATAATAAAAACCCTAACGTCTAGTTTCCCCAGCACTTGTGACAGTATCAAGTTCCCCAGTTCATTCTTTTTGCTTTCAATTCTCAGGGTGCCAGCAATGTCCAAATGGTGGCACCTGTTACTAATCATTAGATAAGAGCCATGACTCCAAGTGTCACCCACCTTCAGATACAACAAAATGCAAACAGATTTTTTTGTGCATCTCTTCAAGAATAAACTTACTTCTTTAGCAAAATTTCTTTCATATTTTATTGACCAGAGTTGGGTCTCACATCTCCCAGAAAAATTTTCTAGGAAGAAGAATGATATTAACATGAGTGGCTTAATCAGGAATTACCCCTGAGTCTCAGGAAGACATCCCTTGATGAAGTGGACACCCAGACAGAATTTTACTCTGACAGTAAGAAGAAAACAGACAGTGCTTTTTAGTAAGTAGCCTGCAGCATCTGTCACCACCCCATGCTGCTCAGTGACATTGAGGGCAAAGAGAGATGGTTCCCTACTTTCTTCCCACCCAGCCAATCACTGTTCCACATAACATCAGAGCATCTAGGAGAGGAGGCTGTAGTTGTGACTGATAGCACAAATGTGCTCCAGTTAACCCACAGAATGCGCTGTGTTGTCTGTCTCTTTATGCCTACAGATAAATCAATGTGATGGGTTATCTACACTAAAGAAGTACAGTACTATTCTGGGAAACAAATGTCCTCTTCATTTCCATGAGGAAATCCAAACAAATACTAGACATGTAGCAATTTGTGCGTGATCCTTCTCACCTCCAGAGTGCTAAAGTAATGCTCCTAGACTAAACCCTTCTATACTTGGTAGTGCAATATAATCAAACCAAAATACATTTACAGAATACTAGTATCTACTTCAATCTTTGTTATATCTTTGCAGCGCTTTCCTTGACCCTTAAGTGGAGGGAAAGAGATGTATAAAACCCAAACTGCGACGTAAGTCTTAATGCAATAAATGGAAAAGGAACAAGGAGCAAGAATGTTCCATGGGAGAACAGAGGACAAGAAAAATGAAAAAATAAGTGGCAGGGGAGGAGGGGAGAGATAACGAGATTAAGACAAAGACTTTTAAGCCTAGACTTGGGAAATGGACAAGATTATAGCAGGAACAAATGAAGAAAGCCATTTCAGCTATTAGAAATCGTAGACTATTCTTAGATAATGGACAGTACAATGGATTAATTGGAGAATGATGACTATAGAAAGAAGTATTAAGAGATAAAGCTGAAAACAGATGGAGATCACATAATAGAAGATTTTAATGCCATATTAATTAGTCTTTTTTCTATGATTTTATAGTGAGTTGCTGCAGGTTTTTGACTAGGGAGCTACTTGATAAGAATGTAGGCTTTAGTAAAAGTTCTCATGTACCAGTGTGTAAGGGAGCTTTCATGAGGAAAGAGATTGGAAGTACAGATATTAATTATGAGAAATTGCAGTACACCTAAAAGATAATTAGGGCATGAACTAAAGTAATGTCAATAGAATAGAAAAAGTATACGAAACCCTTTCTTATAGTGAAGGAACTCAGAATCTGTTTGAACATGGAGTATAGAAGGGAAAATGTAAGGTTTCACTTTGAACAATAGAAAGTATGCTGGTGGTATTATTCCTGAGGATAGCAAAGCCAGGAGAGGCAGCCAGTTGCGGGAGTAGAAAATATAAATTCGTGCAAGATGGTTGAATAGAACTCTCCAGCCATTGTCCTCCCTACAGGAACACCAAATTGAACAATTATCCACACAAGAAAGTACATTCATAAGAACCAAAAATCAGGTCAGCAATCATAGTACCTCATTTTAACATTATTTCAAGCAAAGAGGCACAGAAGAGGGTAAGAAAGACAGTCTTGAATTCCCTATACCAACCCTCCCCCACCCCTTGGCAGCACCACATGGCACATGGAAGAAGAGAATCTGTTTGCTTAGGGGAGGGAAAACACAGTGACTGTGGGACTTTGCATTGGAACTCATTGCTGCCCTGTCACAGCAGAAGGTAACATGGGCAGAATTCAGCCAGCACCCGCAAAGAGAGCCATTAGACCAGCCCTAGGCAGAGGGATATTTTCTGCTGTCCCAGCATTTGGAACCTGAGTTCCAGCTAGACCCAACACTGCACACTAAAGTACCCTGGGGTTCCAGATAAATTTGAAAGTCTAGACCACAAGGACTGCAGTTCCTAAGCAAGTCCTGGTGTTGTACTGGGCTTAGAGCCAGTGGACATGGGGTACACAAGAAAGGAGAGGGAAGAGTAAAGAGGACTTTTTCTTATAACTCGGATACCAGCTCAGCCACAGTAAAATAAAACACCAAGCAGAGATCTGAAGCCCCTATTTCAGGCTCCAGCTCTCAGAAGACATTTCTAGACCCACCCTATGCCTTAAGGGAACTTGCTTCCCTGAAGGGAAGAACTCAGTCCTGGCAGGATTCTTTAATTAATGACGGAGGAACACTTGGACCTTGAGTAAACATCAACAGTAGCCAAGTAGCAATTGCCACAGGCCTTTGATGAGACCCAGAACCATGTTGGCTTCAGATGTGACCCGGCACATTCCCAGATGTGTTGGCCATGGGAAGAGACTCCTGCCTGAGGAAAGGAGAGGGAAGAGTGAAAAGGGCTTTATCTTGCAACTTGGGGATCAGCTCAGCCACAGTAAAAGAAAACACCAAGCAGACTCCTAAAGCCTCCAGTTTTAGGCCTTAGCTCCTAGCTGGCATTTCTCAACCTTCCCTGAGCCAGAAGAGAACCCACTGCCCTGAAAGGAGAGACCTAGTTCTGGCACGATTCACCAACTGCTGACTAAGGAGCCCTTGGGCTTTGAACAAACATCAGCAGTAACCAGGCAGTGGGTGCCATGGCCTTGGGGTGGTGGTGGCCATGGATAGAGAGGCTCCTTCTGCTTGAGGAAAGGAAAGAGAAGAGTGAAAGGGACATTGCTTGCAATGTGGGTGCCACCTCAGCCACAGTAAAATATGGCATGAAGTAGGTTTCTAAAGTTCCTAGTGCCAGGCCATAGCTTCAGCATGGCATTCCTAGACCTACCCTGGGCCAGAAGGGAACATACTGCCCTAAAGGGAAGGACCCAGGCCTGGCAGGATGCACCACTTGCTGACTAAAGAACCCTTGGCCTTTGAATAAACATCACTGGTACCCAGACAATAGTCACCAGAGACTTTCGGTGAGGACTAGTAGTGTGCTGGCTTCAAGTGTGACCCAGCACAGTCCCAGTGGTGTTGGCAATGAACTTGCTTGCATCACCCCTTCCTCCAATTCCAGGCAGCTCAGGATAGAGTGAGAGATGACCTTTGTTTAGGGGAAAGTAAAGGAAGAGAACAAGAGATTCTGCCTGATAATCCAGTGAATTATCTCAGATCTTAACTAAGACCATCAAGGTAGTACCTCTATGAGTCAACAAGAGTGGAGCCCCTTAATACGGATACCACTGCAATGACCAAAGACTTAGATCACAACACCCAAGTCTTCAAATACTTAGAAAACCTTCCCAAGGATCAGTATAAACAAGGCTGACCCATGAAGGCTACAATAAATACCTAATTATTCAATGCCCAGACACTGGCAAACATCCACAAACATCACGACCTTCCAGGAAATCATGACCTCACCAAACAAACTAAATAAATCACCAGTAACCAATCCTGGAGTGACAGAGATATGTGACCTTTCTGACAGAAAAAAAAAAAAATGAAATAGCAATTTTGAGGAAGCTCGTGAAATGCAATTTAACAGAGAAGGAATTTAGAATTCTATCAGATGAATTTAACAGAGAGATTGAAATGCTTTTGAAAAAATCAAGCAGAAATTCTGGGGCTGAAAAATTCAGTTGACAAACTGAAGAATGCATCAGAGTTTCTCAAGAGCAGAATTGATCAAGCAGAAGAATTAGTGAGCTTGAAGACAAGGTATGTGAAAATGCATAGAAAAGACAAAAAACAAAAAAGAATGAAGCATGCCTACAGGATCTAGAAAATAGCCTCAAAAAAGCAAATCTAAAAGTGATTGGCCTTAAAGAGGATGGAGAGAGAGAGAGAGAGAGACTGATTCATTCAGGTAGAAAGTTTATTCAAAGAGATAGTAACGGAGAACTTTCCAAGCCCAGAGAAAGATATCAATACTCAAGGACAAGAAGGTTGTAGAACACAATGCAGATTTTACCCAAATAATACTACCTCAAGACATTTAAAAATCAATTTCCCAAAGGCCAAGGATAAAGAAAGGATCCTAAAAGCAGCAAGAGAAAATAAACAAATAACATACAAAGGAGCTCCAATACATCTAGCCGCATACTTATCAGTGGAAACCTTACAGGCCAGGAGAGAGTGGCATGGCGTACTTAAAGTGCTGAAGGAAAACAAAACTTTTATCCTAGAATGTTATATCCAGTAAAAATATCCTCCAAATATGAAGGAGAAATTAAGACTTTCCCAGACAAACAAAAGCTGAGGGATTTTGTTAACACTAAACCTGACCTACAAGAAATGCTAAAGGGAGTACTTCAGTTTTAAAGAAAAGGATGTTAATAAGCAATAAGAAATAACCTTAAGTCACAAAACTCGTAATAATAAGTACACAGACAAATATGGAATATGATAAGGCCTCAACTGTGTTGCACGAACTAACTACAACAGCTTTTTAAGACATAGACAAAATTATAATAAGATATAAATACAAACAAAAAGTTAAAATGCTGGCAAGATGAAGTTAAAAGGTAGAGTTTTTATCAGTTTTTCTCTTTGCTTGTTTGTTTTTGCAATCATAGTTAAGTTGTCATCAGTTTAAAATAGTGGATTATATGATGTTACTTGCAAGCCTCATGAGAACCACAAATCAAAAAGCCTACCACAGATAGACAAAAAATAAAAAGCAAGAAATTAAAACATATCACCAATCAATTTCACAACAAGGAAGACAAGAAGGAAGACAACAAGACAACCAGAAAACAAAAAACAAAATGGCAGCAATAAGTCCTTATCAGAAATAACATTAAATGTAAATGGACTGAACTCTCCAATCAAAAACAGAGTACCTTAATGGATAAAAATACAAAACCTAAATATCTACTGCCTACAATAAACATGCTTCACCTATAAAAGCACTCATAGACTAGCAAATAAAGGGATGGAAAAAGATATTCTATGCAAACAGAAAGCATAAAACAGCAAGAGTAGCTGCATGAATATCAGATAATATAGATTGTGAGACAAAACTTATAAAAAGAGACAAATAAGGTCATTATATAATGACAAAGGGTCAATTCAACAAGAGAATATAACAACTAGATATGCACCCCACACTGGAGCATCCATATATATAAAGCAAATATTATTAGAGCTAAAGAGAGAGATACACCTCAATCCAATAACAGCTGGAGACTTCAATACCCCACCTTCACCTTTGGACAAATCTTTCAGGCAGGAAATCAACAAAGAAACCTGAGATGTAATCTGTGCTATAGACCAAATGCACCTGATACATATTTACAGAACATTTCATCCAACGGCTGCAAAAGGCAAGTTCTCCTCAGCTCATGGAACATTCTTTTGTTTTGTTTTGTTTTGTTTTATGATTGTCTTTTTTTAAAATTATACTTTAAGTTTAGGGTACATGTGCATAACATGCAGGTTTGTTACATATGTATACATGTGCCATGTTGGTGTGCTTGCACCCATTAACTCGTCATTTAACATTAGGTATATCTCCTAATGCTATCCCTCCCCCCTCCCCCCTCCTCCCACCCCACAACAGGCCCCACTGTGTGATGTTCCCCTTCCTGTGTCCATGTGTTCTCATTGTTCAATTCCCACCTGTGAGTGAGAACATGCAGTGTTTGGTTTTTTGTCCTTATGATAGTTTGCTGAGAATGATGGTTTCCAGCTTCATCCATGACCCTACAAAGGACATGAACTCATCATTTGTTATGGCTGCATAGTATTCCATGGTGCTTATGTGTCACATTTTCTTAATCCAGTCTATCATTGTTGGACCTTTGGGTTGGTTCCAAGTCTTTGCTATCGTGAATAGTGCCGCAATAAACATACGTGTGCATGTGTCTTTATAGCGGCATGATTTATAATCCTTTGGGTATATACCCAGTAATGGGATGACTGGGTCAAATGGTATTTCTCATTCTAGATGCCTGAGGAATCGCCACACTGTCTTCCACAATGGTTGAACTAGTTTACATTCCCACTAACAGTGTAAAAGTGTTCCTATTTCTCCACATCCTCTCCAGCACCTGTTGTTTCCTGACTTTTTAATGATCACCATTCAAACTGGTGTGAGATGGTATCTCATTGTGGTTTTGATTTGCATTTCTCTGATGGCCAGTGATGATGAGCATTTTTTCATGTGTCTTTTGGCTGCATAAATGTCTTCTTTTGAGAAGTGTCTGTTCATATCCTTCGCCCATTTGTTGATGGGGTTGTTTTTGTCTTGTAAATTTGTTTGAGTTCATTGTAGATTCTGGATATTAGCCCTTTGTCAGATGAATAGATTGCAAAAATTTTCTCCCATTCTGTAAGTTGCCTGTTCACTCTGATGGTAGTTTCTTTTGCTGTGCAGAAGCTCTTTAGTTTAATTAGATCCCATTTGTCAATTTTGGCTTTTGTTGCCATTGCTTTTGGTGTTTTAGACATGAAGTCCTTTCCCATGCCTATGTCCTGAATGGTATTGCCTAGGTTTTCTTCTAGGGTTTTTATGGTTTTAGGTCTAACATGTAAATATTTAATCCATCTTGAATTAATTTTAATATAAGGCGTAAGGAAGGGATCTAGTTTCACCTTTCTGCATATGGCTAGCCAGTTTTCCCAGCACCATTTATTAAATAGGGAATCCTTTCCCCATTGCTTGTTTTTGTCAGATTTGTCAAAGATCAGACGGTTGTAGATATGCGGCATTATTTCTGAGGGCTCTGTTCTGTTCCATTGGTCTATATCTCTGTTTTGGTACCAGTACCATGCTGTTTTGGTTACTGTCACCTTGTAGTATAGTTTGAAGTCAGGTAGCGTGATACCTCCAGCTTTGTTCTTTTGACTTAGGATTGACTTGGCAATGCGGGCTCTTTTTTGGTTCCATATGAACTTTAAAGTAGTTTTTTCCAATTCTGTGAAGAAAGTCATTGGTAGCTGGATGGGGATGGCATTGAATCTGTAAATTACCTTGGGAAGTATGGCCATTTTCATGATATTGATTCTTCCTACCCATGAGCAGGGAATGTTCTTCCATTTGTTTGTATCCTCTTTTATTTCATTGAGCAGTGGTTGTAGTTCTCCTTAAAGAGGTCCTTAACATCCCTTGTAAGTTGGATTCCTAGGTATTTGATTCTCTTTGAAGCAATTGTGAATGGGAGTTCACTCATGATTTGGCTCTCTGTTTGTCTGTTATTGTTGTATAAGAATGCTTGTGATTTTTGCACATGATTTTGCATCCTGAGACTTTGCTGAAGTTGCTTATCAGCTTCAGGAGATTTTGGGCTGAGACAATGGGGTTTTCTAGATATACAATCATGTCATCTGCAAACAGGGACAATTTGACTTCCTCTTTTCCTAATTGATTACCCTTTATTTCTTTCTCCTGCCTGATTGCCCTGGCCAGAACTTCCAACACTATGTTGAATAGGAGTGGTGAGAGAGGGCATCCCTGTCTTGTACCACTTTTCAAAGGGAATGCTTCTAGTTTTTGCCCATTCAGTATGATATTGGCTGTGGGTTTGTCGTAAACAAAGACACAACATACCAGAATCTGTGGGACACATTCAAAGCAGTGTGTAGATGGAAATTTATAGCACTGAATGCCCACAAGATAAAGCAGGAAAGATCTAAAATTGACACCCTAACATCACAATTAAAAGAACTAGAGAAGCAAGAGCAAACACATTCAAAAGCTAGCAGAAGGCAAGAAATAACTATGATCAGAGCTGAACTGAAGGAATTAGAGACATAAAAAACCCTTCAAAAAATCAATGAATCCATGAGCTGGTTTTTTGAAAAGATCAACAAAATTGATAGACCGCTAGGAAGACTAATAAAGAAGAAAAGAGAGAAGAATCAAGTAGATGCAATAAAAAATGATAAAGGGGATATCACCACCAACCCCCAGAAATACAAACTACCATCAGAGAATACTAGAAACACCTCTGCGCAAATAATCCAGAAAATCTAGAAGAAATGGATAAATTCCTCGACACATACACTCTCCCAAGACTAAACCAGGAAGAAGTTGAATCTCTGAATAGACCAATAACAGGCTCTGAAATTGAGGCAATAATTAATAGCTTACCAACCAAAAAAAGTCCAGGACCAGATGGATTCACAGCCGAATTCTACCAGAGGTACAAGGACAAGCTGGTACCATTCATTCTGAAACTATTCCAATCAATAACAAAAGAGGGAATCCTCCCTAACTCATTTTATGAGGCCAGCATCATCCTGATACCAAAGCCTCACAGAGACACAACAAATAAAAGAGAATTTTAGACCAATATCCCTGATGAACGTTGATGCAAAAATCCTCAATAAAATACTGGCAAACCGAATCCAGCAGCACATCAAAACGCTTATCCACCATGATCAAGTGGGCTTCATCCCTGGGATGCAAGGCTGGTTCAACATATGCAAATCACTAAATGTAATCCAGCATATAAACAGAACCAATGACAAAAACCACATGATTATCTCAATAGATGAAGAAAAGGCCTTTGACAAAATTCAACAGCCCTTCATGCTACAAACTCTCAATAAATTAGGTATTGATGGAACATTCTTAAAAATAGACCATATGTTAGGCCACAAAGGAAATCCTAAAAT